>NC_000010.11:4100909-4252424 GCF_000001405.40 Homo sapiens
AGTCAGTGCTTCTACATACCAATTGAATGTAGTACTAATTTGTAAATATCTCCAATAGATCATGCCATTGTTACATGCAGAGAGGTTGTTGTAACAGATTCATGCATCATGAGAGACTATTACTAGGTGCTAAATATCCATCTACAGTTTCCAATGTCTTCCAAGAAAAAGTTATTAACTTCTGTCCTGATGTAATTCAATGAAAACATAAATAAATCTACAGTCTTGATCAAACTGGAAATATAAAAAAGACTATTATTTTGAATAATTCTTGAAATTATACAGTTAATCCTAAAGATTATGACTACAGGTTACCAAAACCAACAAGTCCCCATGAAGATATGCAAAATTGCAAAAAACTGAACATCTCTCAGAAGAATCTCTAGACTATTAAATGAACATTGATTATGTCTTGCAGAGGAATGCAGTATACATTGTCTAGATAAACATTTTTATTGCCTTCCAGAAAAAAATGTATAAAATTATTTCAGTGTTTTATTTTTTTTCTATAATTGGCTATTATCAAAGTGATTTTATTTTATTTTATTTTATTTTATTATTTTATTTTATTTTATTTTATTTTTGAGACAGAGTCTCGCTCTTGTCACTCAGGCTGGAGCACAATGGTGCGATCTCGGCTCACTGCAATCTCTGCCTCCAGGGTTCAAGCGATTCTCCTGCCTCAACCTCCTGAGTAGCTGGGATTACAGGCCCCCGCCACCATACCCAGCTTATTTTTTTATTTTTAGTAGAGATGGGATTTCACCATGTTGGCCAGGCTGGTCTCAAACTCCTGACCTCAGGTGATCCACCTGCCTCAGCCTCCCAAAGTGCTGGGATTACAGGTATGAGCCACCGCCCCCAGCCTCAAAGTGATTTTAAATATTTGAATTGATTACATTTTGGAATCAAGAAATTGCAGCCATTTTCAGTTTTCGTTTTTGTCTTCTTCAGTTCTCTAGATAGCTTGACCCATTAGCCTTAGTGAAAGGGCAGCCCTGCAGAGAACTAAAAACATGGATTCCAGCATCAGAAGGCTTGTGTTTTAATCCTCACTCCAATACTCATTGTTACCTGATTATGAGACATTTGTGTATTGTTTTATTGTGGATCTTATCCCCCTATTAATTGGTGCTGATAATGCTTACACCCCAGATTATCATGTGATTGCAACCTTGCAATGTGGCTGAAACCACACCGTTTTCAGTTTCAAAAATAAAACATATTGGATTGCAAGCAAGTGAGAATGAAAATAGACAAGCATAACCATACACACACATTTTAAAGCATTGTACATTTAACAGATTCCTTATTATATGGTGTTCAATTGTCATAATAGAGCCAAATTAGCATATTTTATTAGCATTCACTTTGGAGTTCTGCTGAGATACGTGATTACAGCAATTTGAAGGTCAAGAGGCAGAAATCCAAACACGTCAGTATCCTATAGTCACCCAAAGGCTCCAGTTTTTGCTTCCTTAATCTTTGTAACGGGAATAGCCACTCACACCCTGGAGAGTGTTGCCCAACTCAGAACAACAGCTAGAGTGGAGCTGACCCAAACCTTATCCAACACTGTGGCTATGTTTACACCTACCTGGCAGCCACCGGTATCCAACGGAAAGAGCTGAGAACTTCCAATCCCATTCTGCCTTCTCCATGCCAAATTCTGCTAACGATATTCTCTGTGGTCCAAGAGACATCATTTCTTGCATTTGTGACGTTCTTATTGATCATGAAACTCAAAGATCAGCAGTATACCTATGTAGATACAATTTTGAGTTTATCTTTGTTTCTTTATTAAAAGTCCCTGGTTTTCTCAATATAGAGTCATTGGTGAGTTCCAGCTTTCTGCCCAAGGAAGAGACTACCATATAAATACTGAACTTCAAAAAGACTAATTAGCAAACCAAGTGCAAATTGAGCCCAATAATTATATCATTCTCTTTGCTTAACTTTCGCTATAAATATTTTATTTTATGCATTTTTATGAGCTTATATCTAAAGTATGAAACTGAAATAACTGTCAGGATCGAAAGAAGAAAATGTGACAAATATTCTTCAAAGCCACATCCATATACCAATGCTCTGTAGACTTTCACCAGTGTTTTTAAGCTAAAATTTAAATGAAATTGTATTTGTCTGAGTTTCCCAAATTAGGTTATTGTGTCTATTTATGACAGGCAGTTCCTGTCATGTAATATGATTACATGGGCTTTATCAGATGTGACACATTGGATGATTTATATGATGTGTCAGCCAGAAAGATACAAAGGAAGATAATTTCCTGTAATTACTTTTAAAAGAATTTTGAAAATGGATTTTAAATAAATAGTATGTAACTTGTATTTGAAGTAATTTTTAAATATCATTCCAAGACATTACTGAGAATGAAATAATCAAAGAGGCAGCCTGTTAACTAGCCTTTTCTAATGGAGTAAAACAATGAGTTTTAATTTTGAGTTTAAATAAACACATTGCTTGTTGTGCCATCTTCTGATGGTGTGGTATTAGTAGGTGCAACTTTGGAATTTCTCAATGCTCACCCAGCAGAGAGATGTTTTGCTGTATCTCTCATTGTTTTGGTTATGCCATTCATTGTTTGTTCAAAACCTTAACTCATTTTTGCTCTTTGCTTTGCTGTTCATTTCCTACCCAAATCCTTCACACTTTTCACAGCCACGAGAAAAAAGGTTATTGCCCAAAAGCCCTTCCCGACCGTATTTACCTCTATGAATCCCTGTCTTTTGAATAAATCCCTAGCCCTCAGGACCTCTGCCAGTGTTTTCAAGTGGCTCTTTTGAATCCCTGGGACTACCACTGTGCGTCACAGCTAGCCCCGTACGTAGTGGACTTCCCATAATCGTATATTATTTATTGCCATGACACGGAGCAACTTGCCCCAGACTGTTCCCTAACTTTTCCCAGTCTTTCTTCCTTTTGACATGGTGACTTATTTCATTTTAGTGGTTTATTTCACAACAGATCTGACATAAATTCAGCATGGCAGAGGGAGAAAACAACAGGTCTTCAAAATCTCTGAGGTATGGGCCTGTGTTTAGATATCAGGTCATCCATCTATTTTCTGAAGAATGTGGATTCCTATATGGGGATCATTTCCTTTATCTGTAAAGTGGGACTCATAGTACTTGCCTCATTAGCTGGCCAGCACATTAGCTGGCCAAGGCTCTGTCTTTTTGCTAACTTCTGTAATGCCAGGATCTTGCATTTAGCACATTACCAGATGCAGTGGGTGCTCAAAAGTCTCTGTTGAATAAAATAGCTGGGGTATGATTTTCACTTCCATCCTTAACATTCTTAACTGTAATTCAGACTTCTTACGTGGCTACAATGCCTGAATCAACATTTTGCCCAGTTCAATTGACTGCCCAAAGGCTCTACCAATCAAAACTAGCTTTGATTTATCAAATCAAAGTTTTGACTTATCAAAACTTAACTAAGTTATTAAGTTCCTAGATTTTTTTCTGTGCATTTACATTGTCTTCCAATGAAATGATAATTTCTTGTTACTCATCATCCATATCTTTTACTGTTTAGGCATTCACATTTGTCAATGGCACAGAGATTAGCACATAGTAAATGTTTATGGTTTATTGACTAATTAATGTAATGCACAGATATGTTTCAGAAAAAAAATCCTTTTGATCTATACAGGTGTTAAAAAGGGAAAGAAAATTGCTAAATTGCTATTTCTGTGTTGTGTGTTTCATAAGGGCAAGGGCTGTGTCCTGTTGTTCATCATCATTTCTCAGGGTCCCAGAGTCTCAGGCACTTGGCATATACTATGCCATCAAGGATAGATGAGTGAATAGTTTTATGGAAATTAAGGATTATTGTTCATAATTTTGATGGATAATATCTTCCCTAATATCAGAGTAGCTGTCATCAAATGGTTTGTCAGAAATTTCCCTGCCCTCAAAAGGCCAGAATGGCTTGAAAAGTCATTTCCAGTAAGTTGACCATGGGGAAATCGAGGCTTGGTTGTTGGATGACTATAGTTTATATTCATTGGGTAGTTTATAGACCCACTATAGCTCTCTATGTGTGTGGGTGGATGTGAGGGTTTCTTACAAGGCAGTCTTTTCTAAGTTGGTTCCAACACCAGAAAATTCTTTGAAGCCAAAAATAATTTCTTTCCAGTTTATGCCTTCTTAATCCACATAACAGGAATTCTAATGAATCTCATCAAGTAACTGATATATGCAACAAAATAAGATCATTTTAAGACACCACTAATCTGACAACATCCTTAGTAGGACAACACGTTTTTACCAAAATTGAAAGCTTCTTGTAAATATGAAGCCATCTTAAGAGATGAGCGGATGGCAAAGCTTGGGACCTATAGACACCTGGGAAGGATCTTCCAAGCTCAAGTGGGAGATGTGTTTTAGAGATCAATGGTCAACTCTCCCATGTGCTAATGTTCAGAATCTCCCAGAAGCTCTTCACTTACAGCAGTGGCCCCATGACCTTTTTGGCAGTAGGGACCAGTTTCATGGAAGACAATTTTTTTCATGGACTCGGGGGATGGTTTGGGATGGAACTGTTCCACCTCAGATCATCAGGCATTAGATTCTCATAAGGCATGTGCAACCTAGATCCCTTGCAAGTGCAATTTACAGTAGGGTTTGTGCTCCTATGAGAATCTAATGCTGTTGCTGATTTGACAGGAGGCAGAGTTCAGGTGGTAATGCTCTCTTCTCCCTGCTGTGCCACCCAGTTTCTAACAGGCCACAGACTAGTACTGGTCCACGGGCCAGGGGCTGGGGACCTCTGACTTAAAGTAAAAATATGTGAAAATTGTTTCTTAAGAGAAAAATAATTTCTTCTAAGAAAGGATAATTTCTGCATCATATGAAGAAAGACCTGTTTTTATTAACGTGTTAATTACATTATTGTTACTAAAAGACCATATGTACAATATTTAACTTGATTTTTTCACGATGGTTGTGAAATATATTATCATGCTGAACTTGGACATCTCTATGTAGTAAGAAGGGCCTACATAGAACATAGAGGCTCTTCTTTGGGTTTTGTTTGTGACATGTCTGAGCTCTTCCATGGCTGACCCACTATTAAACAGAATACTGGGACGTGCTTTTGTCTAATTGTAAGGGTGTATAAATGCAGTCATCTTAAAAGCATTCTACACACCCTTGCTAAAAGAGGCCTGCATTAGTACACAGGAAATGTTCATTTTATTTATTCAACCTTCGAGTTCCTTATTAGCAGTTGTAGAAAAGTAAAGATTTATTCGTTAGTAAAATCCAAAGACTCCATTTACCAAATTTTTATTCTTTACTTTAATGAAATTTGTCTGTAGGGCTTTTAAAATTCATTTATAAAGTTGGAACTATATTCAGCTCTGCTGTCTTAGAGATAGATGGCCACATTATTACTTGTCTGTCAAATATAAGTAGGGCTGTTAATAACTGAGAGACAACTAAGAAAACTACCAAACATGGGTGTTTCCTTTGCAGGAAATTGCAATTCTAACCCCTGCATTCCTCTTGGAATCAATTACCTGACTGCAAGTATTACGAAGTCGCTTACTTTTATAGTTAGGGGCACAAGACCTAAGTTAGTGTTCTTCAAAACATCGCCTCTAAGAAGGCAAGTGAAGCTGAAGACTATAAACATGAAGAGGATGTGAACACGACACCTGAAGCAGGGTGACGCCAGCCCATTCTGTCCACTCCATAAGGATAGCCCTTGTTCCATTCGGTCCAGTATACATATTTCCACATGATGCTGAGATTGGGGCAGCAGTCAAAGAAGTGAAGAACTGCAGGGTGTTGTAAAAAGATCAGACTTATGGCCAGGCGCAGTGGCTGATGCCTGTAATCACAGCACTTTTGGAGGCAAGGCGGACAGATCACGAAGTCAGGAGTTCGAGACCAGCCTGACCAACATGGTGAAACCCCGTCTCTACCAAAAATACAAAAATTAGCTGGGCGTGGTGGCAGGCACCTGTAATCCCAGGTACTCAGGAGGCTGAGGGAGGAGAATCACATGAACCTGGGAGGTGGAGGTTGCAGTGAACCGAGATCGCACCACTGCACTCCAGCATGGGTGACAGAGCGAGACTCCATCTCAATAAAATAAAATAAAATAAAAAAGTAAAATAAATCAGACTCATTCTCAACCTGTAAAGTATTGGTACATTTTTGGAGATACCTTCTTTTTTCTTAGACTCAGCAATAGAGTCTAGAAAGAGAATGTAATAAAAGAAACAGTGTTAGACTACATTAAAAAAGGATTTTCCAGACTAGACAGTCCAATTTTTAAAATATGTATATATAGGTGCAACTAAATCCCTATTTTAGCTATCTTCACCCTTCTATCTTAGGGTAAACCAATGAGTCAATACAACCCTACAATTTCCCAAATGTGAATTGGAGACACACTATCCAAGAATAAGCAACATCTATGAAAACTGCTGAGACATGTTATCAGTTAATATGCATGTGGTAGGCACCCTTCCTGCTGCAGTAGATACAACAGTAATGTGTAGAAAGGACATCTGAAACATTACTTAGTGTTATGAAGATCATTTGGATCTCCAAGAAAAGGGAAGTCATTATGGATTGGTTGCCACAGCAAAGAGTTCGTGCAAAAGTGAAACCGGAGTTAGCCCCTGAAGATGAGTGTTGAATGCAGACAGATTGACAAGGATGCTGAAGAATTTAGTAACACTTGAATTGTGTATTCGATCCAAAAAAAGATGACTCATCACGAAAAAAATTAACATTTTTTTTCATTTCATTTTAAAGAACGATACTCGGCTTGTTTTAAAATCTTCCTTTTAAGTCTTTTTCTTCTGGTTCATTTTCAGATATTGGGTATTTCAAGACTTTACTTGTGAGAAAATCAGCAATAATATGTTCATTTATTTTCATAAACTAAAGAAGATAGCACTGATACCTGGAAACGTTATTTTTTTTTCACTTGGGAGGAAAACATTGTTAGTCTTTGGCAATATGTGATTATGGATGTGATTTGGTAGAGTGGCTGACATGTCATCCACATTGATTCTTTTGTGAACATGTTTCAGTTTGTAGCTTCTATGTGATGACAATTTCACTTACCTACATCACAGGCCAGGGGAGGGTAATGTACAACTATGTCCTCACTGCTTAGTGTGCCCTCAGAATTGAGAAGCTGCTTGGCTAAGAAAAGCTGAGAGCTTCAGGAACAAGAATCCTGGTGCTGAGACAACGTCTTATTTTCCTTTAACGTTCCACATTGTGGCAGAGTTTTACAGAATCTGTTTGGGAGCAGAGGAAAGGTCATGCCAGAAGAATAATTGCAGATTTTCATGTAATTCTTAAATGTATGATCTCTGTGTTTGGTAAAAGAGAGAAAACCACCCTGTCAGCCTATGATCCTGAGAAGTATTATATGAAGCAAGCTTTAGCTGGCATTGGTAGAAAAAAATACGCTAAGGGTGCAAAGTCTCCTCTGGCATAAAATCTCTTTTGTCCTTTAAGAATTTAAAGAATATCCAATCATAACTGATTTTTATCCATTTTCATCAATTATTGAGTTGTTATCCAGTGCTAACATGACTGATTAAAGTAGACACTTTCAAGCACATTAGGGAGGCAATATAGCTTCATGGTTAAGAATGCTGGCTTTTAAAATTTAGACATGGTTTAAGTCCACTCTCTTATTGATTTAAGGTGTAACCTTGAACAAATTGCTTAAACTCTCTGGCTGTCCTGGTTCTCATCTGAAAAATGAGACGAGAATAATATCTATCCTATAAGATTGTCTTGGAAATCATATATAATATTTTCACATAATGCCAAGAAGGAAGGCTTTGTTTTACCAATTATTCGTTGATCTCAAACAATATGAGAACAGGATGTAGGTGTGTTTCTTTGCAAATACATTCAAGAGCTCTTTCTCTTCCTTTCTCACTGAGAGGACAATGGGCACAATGAGGGAAGTACAGGCCACCCAGGGGACCAGATGCTATTATTGTCCTCGTTCACATGCAATAGAGCACATGAGTCTTGGATGATACAATTTGACTACAGCTCTTTTAGAAACCATGGAGTTTAAGTTATCTCTTGATTTTCTGGTATGTTCTTTACGAAGAACAAAGCTTTGTTAGCTCATGGTTCCGGATCCTGGGAAGTCCAAGACTGAGGAGCTGGCATCTGGTGACAGCTTTCTTACTAAGTCATCCCATGGCAGAAGGGCAAAGAGAGGATGAGAAAAAGAAGGGGTTGAACTTGTCCTTTTATAAGGAACTTACTCCTGTGATAACAAGCCTACCCCTGCAATGATGGCATTATTCCATTCATGAAGATGACGGTGCTCCCTTGACCCCAAAACCTCCTATCAGGTCATGCCTCCCAACACGGCTGCACTGGAGATTGAGTTTCCAACACATGTGCTTTGGGAGAAACGTTCAAACCATAGCAGTTATTATGAGAATCTCTGCTCAACTGGGGTTCAGCAGAGAATTTTTCCTAATTTCTACCAGATTTAGGTTATGGGGTGAATACATTTGAATATCTAATTCTGTTCTTCTTGTTACTGACTTCATCATCAGCTAAGTATTCTGTTTCAACCTTGTTACAACGATAAGATTTTAAAATGCAGTCCACTGAGGCACATAATTTTCACTTGCGTTTCATCATGTTCATACATAATGGATATGTCTTTATATCCGTGTTGATTTGCTTGGGAATGCACTGACTCACATCTTCACAAAAAGGCCAAAATACTTAAAGAGGTCAACAAAAAACTATGTTTCTTGGACAGGATTTATACTGAATCATCATCATATATCACTACATGAAATCATGTCATTAGTGTTTTTCAGCTAATTGAACTATAATCTACTTTAAGAAAATACAATACCAATACAACAGCTGGTCAAGGCAGGGGCCTGAAGAGCTGCAAGTCCTTTGCAATCTATATTTACCTTTCAGCTCTCTGCACTGTTTCTGAACACATTTTCAATAATGCAAAATTAGGACCTTAGCCTCTGTGCTCAGAATTAATCAGTTCATAATACAGTATTTTATTTACTAATTATTACACATTTCTATTTTGCTCAAGTTGATCAAATCCCTATAAATTTATCATCAGACCACTGCTGCTAGAATTCTAGTAATCAGGGAAAGCCTGTGTCCTTGTGACAGAGCACAGTGCCATAAGACTCAGAATTTCTTTTTTTTTTTTTTGATGGGGAGAGACAGGGTCTCACTCTGTCACCCGGCTGGAGTGCACTGGTGCAATCTCAGCTCTCGCCTCCCAGGCTCAAGTGATTCTCATGCCTCAGCCTCCCAAGTAGCTGGGACCACAGGTGAGTGCCACCATGCCCAGCTAATTTTTGTATTTTTTAAGGAGGGGTTTTATCCATGTTGGCCAGGCTGGTCTCGAACTCCTGGCCTCTCAAAGTGCTATAATTACAGGCTTAAGTCACCACGGCCAGCCAGAATTTAACTTTGTAACTTAAAATTCACAATTTACTTTTTATGAAGAATTTCTCATTTTTATAACTATATTGAACAAAGATAAAAGTATTTTTTTTTCTGTTAACCACTTAAAATTTTAAGGCTCAAAATATATATTGAATATTATTTTCTAAAACATGTAAAAATAATTTCTTTTAACTGAGGGGCTTAAAAAGATTTTAAACTATTTTTTGATGACTCAATTGATCATTATTATGAAGAAGTTTTTTAAATTATCTGTCAACATGATTTATTTACTTATTTATTTTTCGATTTGCCCCTCTCTTGCCTTGCTGGAAACCATTGCTTTTCTTCTAAGAGTTTTCCTAACATAAGTACTTTAATTTAAAACAGCTTCTATAGATTGCTGCTTCTGGTCAGCTGTTAAAAACAAAAAACAAAAACAAAGCCTAGATAATAGCAGCAGACAACATCTATGTTACAGATTGTGTTGAAAATTATATACAATATTTGCATGCAATGCAAGAAGTCCTTTGTTTAACCAGTTATTGGTTGGTCTCAAAAGTAGCTGGTGGGTACTGTAAAATCTGTTACTTTTTAAGGGGATTTTTTAAATCTTTTAAAGTCAGTTGGTTTATTCCTCTTTTGTGACTGCTGTATTTGCAACTCTACAGACAAGAGAAAGACACTACTCAGTTAAAAAGTAATTTATTTGTAGTAAAAATAGAGCACTAGATTTAGTTGGGAAGTAGAGAAAGCTGAAATTATTGATTAAAATGTGAGAATTGTCTAGGCGCATTGGCTCATGCCTCTAATCCCAGTACTTTGGGAGGCTGAGGAGGATGGATCACCTGAGGTCAGGAGTTGAAGACTAGTTTGGCCAACATGGTGAAACCCCGTCTCTACTGAAAACACAAAAATTAGCTGGGTATGGGGGTGGGCACCTGTAATCCCAGCAACTTCAGAAGCTGAGGCAGGAGGATCTCTTAACTCCGGCGGGGAGAGGTTGCGGTGAGCCGAGATTGCATCACTGCACTCCAGCCTGGGTGACAGAGTGAGACTCCATCTCAAAACAATAAATAAATAAATAAAAATGAGTGCGAATTAATATCATTTAATCCATTAGCTAAAAGTTAACACATTAAAATAAAAAAAATCTGAATGAAGGCTGGGCTTTAATTAAAAAAAAAGATATTTCTTTGTTTAAACCATTTGTTTTACTAATTAACCAGGCAAAAGTAATAATTAGAGACTTAACAAACTAAGAAAGAAAGCTTTGAAAAGTCATAAAAAGCAAATATTTAAAACTGTTTTAATGACCAGAGGTGAAAAAGTGCACAGAAACTGTCATTCTCCATTATTGTTGGTGTCAGCAAAAATTGGCTTGACTCCTTTGGAAAACCATTTGAGTTATAAAAATAAATAACTTCTCTGATTCAGTAATCCTATTTCTGGGAATTTGTCCAATGAAAATAATTCAAATGAAGGCAAAATCCACTCAAACAAAAGTAATATTTGTTATATCATGAATTTAAGAGTAAAATCTGAGAAGATGATAAATATACACAATAAAAAATAAGTAAATAAATGATGGAGCAGGTACTAAGTGGAATATTATGCTCTGATTCAAGAAATGGAAGATATCCAATACAGAATGCTTATGGAAAGCTCGTGTGTTTCTTCAAATTCAAGACAGCATCTTGAGAACATGTAATTATTTCCTCTCTTCCCTAAAATCCCACTTAAGTAATGGTATGGAAGTACAAAGAAATGTATTTGTAAAAGGCAGGTCACTAATATTGATAAATATCTAGACCACTGAAAACATTTGGAGTCATTTATAAATACATCGGAGTTAACAATAGCCTGAAATGTGCATGGAAAGAGCATTAGAGGAGGCGCAAGACACAGTCTTCTGACGTGTCCTTTGGGACACCCTGATCTTTTTAATAAAAGTATGGAAAATGAGGATAAGAAGGGGGGCAGAGATCAATATCATTAATTGCAAAACTGCCAATAGAAGAGCTGTGGGAATCTTTTCACACAGAGACATGCCTCTCCTCACCACCTCCTCCACCCCCAACAGCTTTTTGATCATGGCTCTTTTCTCAAAGTTAAATGTGCTGTGCACCCCCATTGAACATGGGAAGAATTAGGATTGCCCAGAGTCAAACCTTCCTCATTCTGTCAAGGATGGAGATGAGAGGAGCCAGTCTTCCTTCCTGCTTCCCACATGTGTACTGCAGGCTGAAATGTTCCTGTCACCAAAGCTTGCCTGGGTATGCAAAGGTAATAGTCAACTCACTTACTCAAGGGAGGACTGGTGGAGAAACAGGCTTCCATGGTTGCAGAAGAAATTCTGAGAAGCCTTTGATAATTTATCTAGTCCTTCATTCATAAATATAAGCAAACAACCAAGGATCACCAGATAAGAAGAAAACACTAGTACCTGCCCCCTAAAATGGCAAGAATGAGGAAATAATACAAAATATTAAAGGAACAGAAAAGATTTTAAATGGTTTCCAATTAGTATCCTGAGAGAAATTTAAGAAAGTAATTCTTCTATAAAATAAGAGCAGACTATCACTAAAAAGGAATTTAAAAGTTCTAAAATAATTCTGGAAAGATTTTAAAATGTGAAAGTTCATATTTAAAAAATGTTTAACTTACCATGATTGATTTTTCTGATACTTGTTGTAATTAAAGGCTTTTTCTGAAGCAGTTTTAAATTTACATAAATACTGAGCAATAGTATAGAGTGTTTTAATATAAACCTTCATCCCAATAACAGAAAGCATATTTGAAAAAACCTAGTTTACCTGGAGATTAAAAACATGCTTCTGACAGAGCGCGTTGGCTTACGCCTGTAATCCCAGCATTTTGGGAGGCCGAGGCGGGTGGATCACGAGGTCAGGAGATCGAGACCATCCTGGCTATGGTGAAACCCCATCTCCACTAAAAAAAAAAATACAAAAAATTAGCTGGGCGTGGTGGCGGGCGCCTATAGTCCCAGCTACTCGGGAGGCTGAGGCAGGAGAATGGCGTGAACCCAGGAGGCAGAGCTTGCAGTGAGCGGAGATCGTGCCACTGCACTCCAGCCTGGGCGACAGAGTGAGAATCTGTCTCAAAAAAAAAAAAAAAAAAAAAAAAAAAAAGTCTTCTATATAACACATACTCTGCAGTTGTTATCCATCTTATCTATAGGTGAAAGAAGTCTCTCAAGAACTAATAAAATAAAGACACGACTGCTCTCAATTTGTGGGATGCAGTTAAAGCAGTACTCGGGGCAATTTGTAGCAGTAAATGCATCTATTAAAAAAGAAGATAAATCTAAAATGAATAATCAAATTTCTACCTTAGGAAATTAGAAAACAAAAACAAATCCAAAGTAAGCTAAAGAAAAGAATTAATAAAATTAGAGCAGAAATCAATGAAACTGAAAGCATAAAATCATTAGAGAAAATCAATAAAATTAAAGCTGATTCTTTGAGAAGATAAATAAAATTGATATGAGAAACTTCTAGCCAGGTTAACTGAGAGAAAAAGAGAAAAGATCCAAATTACAAACATCAGAAATGAAAGAGGGGCCATCTCTTCTTAAAAGGAGAACAAACAAGTGCTATGAACAATTCTTTCCCCACAAATGTAATAATATAGGTGAAATGGACCATTTCTTTGACAGATACAATCATACAAGGAGAAGTAGACAATCTGATTAGGCCTATAAATTTTTAAATAAATAAAATCAATAATTAATAAACTTTCAATCAGTAATTAATATCCTGGACAGAAATAAAAGATTTTATTTTATCCTCATTTATGCCTATCATGCTTTTCTTCCGTTTTCTTTTTTGTTTGTTTTCCTATTTTTTTTTTTTTTTGAGATAAATTCTCACTCTATCACCCAGGCTGGAGTGCAGTGGTACAATCATAGCTCACTGCAGCCCCGAATTACTGGGCTCAAGTGATCCTCCCACCTCAGCCTCCCGTGTAGCTGGGACAATGGACGTAAGCCACCATCCAGATAATTTTTGTATTTTTTTATAGAGAAAGGGTCTCACCAAGTTACCCAGTCTGGTCTTGAACTCCTGAGTTCAAGCAATTGGCCTGCCTTGGCCTCCCAATCATACTTTCTTTATGTAGGTCCAAGTTATATAATTTCCTTCTCTCTGAAGGACTTCTTTTAACTATTCTTCTAAGGCAGCTAGACTAGCAACACATTTTCTCAGTTTTTGTTTGTCTGAGAAAGTCTTTAGCCTTCACTTTTGAAGAATAATTTTAGTGAATGCAGAATTCTGGGCTAATGATTCTTTTAACACTTTAAATATTTTACTCCACTCTTTTCTTGCTTGCATGGTCTGAAGTGATGTCTGGTGTAATTCTTATCCTTGCTTCTTTATAGAAAAAGTGTTTTTTTTTTTGTGGCTTCTGTTTAGATTTTCTGCAGTTTGTTTATAACGTACCTAAGAATAGACTTTTTGGTATATATCTTAATTAATACTCTGAGTTTCCTGGACCTGCAGTTTAGTGTCTATCATTAATTTTAGAAAATTCTCAGTTATTATTGCTGCAAATATTTTTTTCTGTTTCTTTCTCTCTTTCTTCTTCTCTGGAATTCCCATTATGTGTATATTATACATTTTTGTAACTGTTACACAGTTCTCTATTTTTCTGTTATATCTTTTCATTGCTCTTTTTCTTTTATATTTTAGTTTTGGACATTTTTGTTGACATTCCTTTAAGCTCCCTGATTCTTTCCTCAGCTGTTTCCATTCTGTTGATGAGCCCATCAAAAGCACTCTTCATTTTTATTACAGTGTTTCTTATTTCAAGAGTTTTCTTTTATTTCTTTCTTACATCATCCATCTCTGTGCTTACATTACTCATCTCTTTTGGATTCGTACACTTTTTCAATTAGATTTCTTAGCACATCAATCATAGCTGTTAAATGTCTACTCTGATAATTTTGACATCACTGCCATATCTGAGTCCGGTTTTGCCTATTCTGTCTCTTAAAAGTGTCTTTTGTCTTTTAATATGCCTTGTACATTTTTATTGTAAGTCAGTCATAATGAACTGGGTTTCCTGTTGTCTTTGGGTTTCCCTACAGACTTCTTAAATAACGTGTGATGCAATTCTTTTAGTTGTCTCCCTCTGTAATCACACAAGAGTCTTATTTGGAGGCTCTTTTATGGGGAAGAAGAAAGTGTTATACAGTCCTATAATTAGGCCTTAGTCTTTTAGCAAGCCTATGTCCCTGGGCTGTGATCTTCATAAGAGCTCCTAAGTATCCTCACTCCTTAGGTTAGACAGAAAGATTAAAGGGAGCTGGAGTTGGGTCTTCTCCTTTGCCCAAATAGGTTAGGCTTTGGTTAAAATGGTTTATTCTGAAGGACGCATCGTTAAGAAGAACTGGATATTCTGGCATATTTCAAAGTGGCGATTTTACTTCCAGGAATCCTGGAATTTATGGAAGTGTGGGTGACCCTAGAAGACTGGGTCCCTGGAGAATTTTTCTTTCAGAATTGTCTATGTTAGGTCTTCAACATTTCATGAAGGACAGGTCTGGCTTTCCTGCCCTGCTGCTTATTCCCTTGGAGGTTTCTGCTCATGAGTTTTAGCCACAGTGAGTTGTAACTCTCTGTACCCATATCTGTCTCCCTTTCTACTTTTTGGGTTTCTAGCTTGTGCTGGGACTTCAGTTCTCTGATAAATCTAAGAATTGTTGATTTTGTCTTCTTTGTTTTTTTGCTGTTGTGTGGATTGTGGAGACAACTTTGAAGCCCTGGTTGCATGTCAGTATGGAGAGAGTTTCTGGGTGGACTTTTGGAATTTGTAATACAACGTATTTCAGAAATTGGAAAAAATAAAATTGCATTGAAGAGATTGAAGATATTGTCAAATGAATCTCTCATATTTTGGACAAAGAGGTAAAGAAATGTAAAATAGAATAGAATCAGCCAATAAATGAGTCAATACTGATCTAGTTCAAGAAAGGAGAAAACTTGGGAAATGGAGGGAAAAAGCTAACAAAATAGAGTAGAATTTTCTAGAGCTGCAGAAAGGCATTGGTCTTTAAACTGTGCTGATTTGACAATTAAAAAGGACTGACACAAAGAAGAACTTAGAAAGTTTTTAGCACACCAAGAATAACTGACCTATCTTAGAAGCTTCCAGAAAGAGAAGATTAAATTTCCATTACTTATAAAAGAAAACTCAGATTGATGTAGTTTCTGATTTCTCATCAGCAACAGTGAAGGACTTTCTTCAGCAATCCTTTCTGCTAGAAGTCTGTAGAAATTCGTGTCGCGGTTCTAAGGGTAAACCACTGAACCCAGGGTTCTATAATCTCAAGAATCATTTGAGAGGGTAAAAAATGATGCATCTCATTTGAGATTATAAAAGGATACGGCTATTGCAAGAATATCAAAAAATAATTGTGGCCAGGCATAAGGCAATAAGAATCAGCAGCACCTGGAGGAAACTAAAGAATGTACAGGCCCCACTAAAGAAAGTTAAGGTCTAGAAAACAACATGAAACCCAAATCAGAAGACCTAGATATACCTGTAGGTCACCAGCAGGTGACCTACACCCATGTGGTGGTGTAAAACAAGAATCAACTGCAAAACAAAACAACCAAAACATCTGAAAATGAAGAGTAAATAGAATTCAAGAAATCATAGATTTAATCAAAGAATGAAAGAAAATAAATTTTAGAATTCAACTGTATAGCAGGCTGAGAAAACAACTGGGTCATACTAGGGTGTAAAATAAAAAGGCCCCAAGGAAATTACGTGGAAGTGCAACCCCTAAAATAAATAGTGCAAACTTACGGATAAAGTGAACAAACATATTGCTGTTGTCAAAGAATAAGAAAGAGAAGAAGAAAGAGAAAGAGAGAGAGAAACAGAGAGGAAATGGAAGGAAGGAAGGAAGGAGGGAGGGAGGGAAGAAGGGAGGAAAAGAAAGAAAGAAAAAAATAGGAAGGAAGGAGAAAGAAAGATAGCAAGAAAGAAAGAAAAGAAGGAAGGAAGGAAGGAAGGAAGACAGAGAGAGAAAGAAAGAAGGAGGGAGGAAGGAAGGAAGGAGAAAGACAGAGAGAGAAAGAAAGAAGGAGGGAGGAAGGAAGGAAGGAAGGAAGACAGAGAGAGAAAGAAAGAAGGAGGGAGGAAGGAAGGAAGGAGAAAGACAGAGAGAGAAAGAAAGAAGGAGGGAGGAAGGAAGGAAGGAGAAAGAGAGAGAAAGAAAGAAGGAGGGAGGAAGGAAGGAAGGAGAAAGACAGAGAGAGAGAGGAAGGAAGGAAAAAGGGAGGGAGGGAGACAATGAGAAAGAAAGAAAGAAAGAGGGAGGGAGGAAGAAAGGAAGGAGAGAGAGAAATAAAGAAAGATGGAGGGAGAGAGGAAGGAAGGAAGGAGAGAGAGAGAAAGAAAGAGAAAGAAAGAAAGGAAGGAAGGAAGAAAGAAAGAGGGAGGGAGAAAGGGAGGGAGGAAAGAAGAAAGGAAGGAAGGAAGGAAGGATGGGAGGGAGGGAGGAAAAAGAAATTTACAACAAATTTTAGGCACAATAACATCTATACAAGGAAAATCAGAGTCTAAATATCAAACAAAGTTAAATGTCGCATGGACTTTGGTTAATTATGAAACTTTCTGATCTCGGTGCTTGAATGTTGTCTTTATAGTGTCACGGGCTCGATGGTTACAAAATGGCACAATTCCTAAGTACCCAGTAGAGACAGAATGGATTTGTGCTTGATGGTGCTTGTGCCTGGGGCAGGTGGGCCACCTGGGAGTGAGGAGAGGAGTTGAGTTTTACATCTGGGTTGACACAGGGTAAATCAGAGGCATTGGTGCAAGATCTAAAGGTAGAAAAGCTCATGAGGAGACTAGACCTCTGTGATGGTACTGAGAGGTTACCAAGGGCCAGAGGTCCCCAGGGATATAAATATACACAGATAAAATTTTTCTAGATAAATATGCTATTTGGTTTGCTATGGTTGTGGAACTATGAGGTTTTCCTAGCTTTCTCTTCTGTGGTTATGTAACTTTATAAAAAAAGGACTTTATAATTAAAAATGGAACAGATTATTCTAGACTTTAAGAAATAATTGACCAAAGTTAATTACCATGTTTATAACAGCCACACCTGCTGTATCATGTGGTTGCCAAGAATGATCTTAAAAATATAAAAATGCATCTGCTACCATGACTTGATAGAAGTGGCTTGGAAGCCTGCAGGTTAGTGACATCACTCCACTTCGTGAGCTCTTCGATGAGAGGTGGGTTGGCTGGAGGTGGGTTTATTCCCTGGAGGAACTTTCGTGCTGAGATGAGGACTAAACGCCTTTTCTTGCTCCTTCTTGATCACCAGATCTATCACAATAGTAGCCAGGCAAAGCATAAATCCTGTTTTTTCCCCACATTGAATATACATTGCCACATAGATTTCAGATTAAAAGTTTCTTGGTCTTCAGAAAGATAAAGGAACATCAGCAAACAAATCTAATCTCTACCTTTCTCTTGGGCTTACAAAGAATTTTAAAAAGAGATTGATTAGATAGATAAATATAGATAGAATATATATATATATATATATATATATATATATATATATATATAGTGTGTGTGTGTGTGAGTGTGTGTTCTCACAAGAAAATAAAATAATACTTTCCCAGGGGAAAGGTGTTTTGAGACTTGTGGTCAAATTCTGTGTTTTCCTAATTACCTGTGCAAGACTGGGTGAGAGTCTTAGTTTCCTCTTGGGGAGGAGATGAAGGGCTTGGGCAGCTTTCTAAGTAGACTCGGTGGTAACGTTCTGCAAGTCCCTAAGCCAGGTGAATATCTGGAGGAGGATGTGAGTTCCTCCTCCACCTCCCTCACATTGTCAGGTAGGGGTGGCTGAGCTCCAGAAGGATTCACCTCTGGACATTGCCCCCATCCATCGCTTCCTCCTAAGGCCACCCCTGTAACCAGTGCGAGGCTGCCGAGACAAGGTTCATTCCATCGCTGGGCCAGGCCAGAGTTACCGACTGCTCAGTTATTGACACCTCCTTATTTCTGTCCATCCATGAGATGGATTGTTGTAGATTTGGTGAAAAGTGTTCAGTGAAGAAAGTAAATCAAATTGCTTTAGTTTACATATGAGATAATGCACGTAAAAATGCCCTTATCTATGAAATTCTAAACAGATACAGGAAATTATGATTCTTCTGATTAAACACTAGCTTACTGCTACTATGAGATACATATACAGACAGCTATAGACAGGAAGATAGTCACTGTGTATATATTGAGCACAACCCACTATATAGGAGAATAAAAATATATTATACCATGTTATAACTAAATGCAAAGATACCTTAGCATTCAAGAATCGCATATTCACTTGATGACAGTTTCTTCTAGAAAACTGAAGTAGAATGGAATAACATGACTTTTTATATATTTTTCAGATTAAAAAGTTAAATATGTTTATTCTAATTACCTGATTACTTGCTCTCCCACCCCTGCCTATCTCTTTTTCTGTCTAAAGAAGGGTTGACTCTAGTAGCCAAGCAAATAAGCTAATGGTTCCCTCTTATGCCACACACTTCTGAAAGTAAGTTGAATGGCTCTTGGTGTATGTTGATGAGGAGGTATGACTATTATATAACAATATTGAAAAGAAGACTTCATTTCTATTTCACTCAAGAAATGAAGTCTAGGGCTGGGTGCGGTGGCTCACGCCTGTAGTCCCAGCACTTTGGGAGGCAGAGGCAGGTGGATCACCTGAGGTCAGGAGTTCAAGACCACTCTGGCCAACATGATGAAACCTCGTCTCTACTAAAACTACAAAAAGTTAGCTGGGCTTAGTGGTGGGCACCTGTAATACCAGCTACTCAGGAGGCTGAGGCAGAAGAATCGCTTCAACCCTGGAGGCGGGGGTTATAGTGTGCTGAGATCATGCCATTGCACTCCAGCCTGGGTGACAAAGCAAGATCCTGTCTAAAAAAAAAAAAAAAAAAAAAAAAAGAAGTCTAACTTGTCTTCATGCATAAAATGTTCATATTAGTTTGACAAACTTTCTAACAAAAATGAAAACAAACTAGCAATATATTTAATAATTATACTTTATGATTCAACAAAAAACAAATGTTGAGCTGTGCTTAGTTATTTAATTTTATTTTTGATGTAGGGCAGGTCTTGGGACAGGAGCCCATCTCAGTATTAGAAGCAGCACATGTTGCTGAGGAGGTGCTGGCTGGGCAATGCTGGCTCCAGCAGGGCTGGGTCCCGAGGAGCAGGGCATGTGGGGTGACACCAAGCTGGAAACCCCCGTCAGCCCCACCACTTCCCATGCTGTGTGTGATGCTGGCAGATCACTTAACCTCCTGGAGCCTCACATTCCAAATTTGTTTACTGTTCAAAGTAATTGAGATGATAAATGCAAAGTTCTAGAGAGAGGTGTTCAAGAAATGTTTATTCTCTTTACCCTCATTACCCAAATAATTTTTTTTTTGGCAGATAATTTAAAGAACAGAAATACACAGAAAGTGCTGAGAGTACACAAATAAACTATTTCTAAGCATCTTATTTCTAATATTTTTAAAACACCGTTTACATTTGTTAATAATTTAAATATAGTTACATATAAATACCCTACAGGGATTTTACTTGAAAAACGTTATGAACTCTCTTTATATTTTTATATGTTTTATGTTTTGAAAATTGCAAAACAAAGCGCTTAAGCGCACTTAATTTCAGAAGATTTATTTAATCCATCTTTATTTTCCTAGATACACAATTAGTCTAAAAGAAATATTATTATTCTTAGTTTTGAGATGGAGTCTCACTCTGTCACCCAGGCTGGAGTGCAGTGGCATGATCTCGGCTCACAGCAGCCTCCACCTCCCAGGTTCAAGTGATTCTCCTGCCTCAGGCTCCCAAGTAGCTGGGATTACAGGCACGCGACACCACACCTGGTTAATTTTTGTATTTTCAGTTGAAACAGTTTTCACCATGTTGATCAAGCTGGTCACAAACTCCTGACCTCAGGTGATCTGCCCGCCTCAACCTCCCAAAATACTGTGATTACAATCGTCAGCCACTGCGCCCAGCCAAGAATGACCTTTTTAAATGTTGAAATAGTAATAAAAGAATATGGAGAAGTAAATTTACAATGCATGAAATGAACAGCGTTCAGTGCATGTCTGTGTGTTGTGGCAGAGTCACAGAAGTACCAGGGTTGCACTGGTCTTCCAGGGGGTGCCCACGGGCCTCCAGCTGCTTCCTTTGTGCTCTCACCTGGTCAGTATCTCCTGCCGCAGTTGTGGTGTCAAGGTTCCTTTCGCTCCTTTTCCCCCACCGTCCCTTCCCACCACTCCTGTCTGTCCTTTCTTCTCCTATTTGCATGTAATGTTGCTGCTGCACTTGATTCCCATAACTGTAATGATTGTGAATCAGAAAGGAAGTAAATATTTGCATGCATATGGAAACTTTGCAGAAGAAATCTACACGGAAACCAGCTGACAGCACATTTGCTGACAGGGGACACTCTGCGCTCGGAGTGGCCCTGTGTTTAAAATGCATGAAGTGGGCACGTACAGTATTTCAAAAGAGATTACATTTTGTCATCTGTCATATGTTTAAGGTCACTGCAGACACAGACTGTTAAAAATAGATTTCAAGAACAATATCTTTCAACTCTTTAATAAGTCGTTTTGGACAAAAACCTACTTGCTGTGTGGCAGGGACATTCTGGCATTGCTGTTTAAGACAGAAGCCCAAGCCCCTCACCCTTTCCTAGAAAAACCTGTACACATACACAAGGGAGTTTTGACTGACCCACATTAACCTTGATGTGAGTGTCAAGTACTGGCACTCACAAAAACCCCTTCATTCATTATCTCTGGATTACCATTTGGAAGATATGAATACCAAACAAAGAATCCACTTCATAAAAAAAAAAATCTTAAATGAGAGATATGTCAACGAATAAGGGACCAAGTGCATAGATCCGCAAACAAATGTTAGTTGCGCGTAACTCTAAAACTCCTGGAGATATTAAACCAGAAGAAATAATATACGAATAGAGGTATGTCTCAAAGCAAGCAATATCAAAATTTCTGAAAGTATGCATTTGTTAAAATTGCAGTTATTTTGTTTGCTACATACAGGCCCGCCTTGCTTTACTGCAGTCTGCTTTCTTGTGCTTCCCTGATAATGGGTGTTTTACAATGTGAAGGTTTGCGGCAACCCCGCATGAAGCAAACTTATCAGCACCATTTGTCCAACAGCAGGTGCGCACTGCATGCCATCATGTCACATTTTGGTTAATTCTCAAATATTTCAAACTCTTTCATTATTATATTTGCTACTATGATCTGGGATCAGTGATCTTTGACATTATTCTTATTGTTTGGAGGTGCCACAAATTGCACCCATATAAAACAGCAAACTTAATCGAGAAGTGTTGTGTGTGTTCTGAGAGCTCCATCAGACAGCCGTTCCCCAGCTCTCTCCCTCTGCTCAGGCTTCCCTGTTTCCTGAGACACAATAATATTAAAATTAGGCCAATTAATAACCTATAGTCTCAAAGTGTTCAAGTGAAAGGAAGAATCCCTTGTCTCTACTTCGAATCAAAAGCTAGAAATAAGTTTAGTGAGGGAGGCATACTGAAAGCTGAGAAGGGTCACAAGCTCGGCCTCTTGTGCCAAACATTTAGCCAATTTGTGAATGCACAGAAAATGTTATTAAAGGAAATTAAAAGTGCTACTCAAGTGAAAACAGAAATGAAAAGAAAGTAAGATAGCTTTATTGCTGATAGGGAGAAAGTTGAGTGGTCTGGATAGAAGATCGAGTTGGCCACTCATTCCCTTAAGCCAAAGGCTAATCCAGAGGAAGGCTTTCACTCTCTACAATTCTGTGAAGACTGAAAGAAGCAGGGAAACTGCAGAAGAAAAGTTTAAAGCTAGCAGAATTAACGAATGAGGAGTCACTTCTTATGGATGAGCAAAGAAAGTGGCTTCTTGAGATAAAATCCATTCCTGGTGAAGAAGCCGAGAACATTGTTGAAATGACAACAAAGGAGTTAGAATATTCCATCAACACAGTTGATAAAGCAGTGGCAGGAGATGAGAGGACTGATTCAAATTTTGAAAGAAGTTCTACTATGGGTAAAATGCTATCCAACAGCACAGCATGCTACAGAGAAGTCTTTTGTAAGAGGAAGAGTCAATCAATGTAGGAAACTTCATTGTCTTATTTTAAGAAATTGCCACAGTCACCTCAGCCTTCCCAGCAGCAAAAAGATTACAACTAGCTGAAGCCTCAGATGATCGTTAGCATTTGTAACAATAAAGTATGTTTAAATTAAGGTATGTACATCTTTTTAGACACAGTTATATTGCATACTTAATAGACTACAGTATAGTGTAAACATAACATATATACTGTGGAAAACCAAAATATTTGTGTGACTGGCTTTATTACAATATTAACTTTATTGTAGTGTCTGGACCCAAACCTGCCATGTCTCTGAGGTATACCTGCATTAAAATTTTAAATGATCATTAGCTTGTTTTTCACAACTCCTTATCTTATTTCACTTCACAGTCACTCGAATCTTTTTGGTGCATAAATATTAATGTATACATTTATATAACATTGTAGCAGTAGTCCTCTCACCTCACATTGTGATCCAAAGTTGATTTTATTAAATATAAATGTGAAAATGACAGTTAAATTATTTCTGCTTTCTGTAGAAATACTAGCGTTTGTAAGCTACATTCATATCCCCAGAATGTCGTCAACAGCTATAAGATACTGGGCTGACTAGGCCGGGCGCTGTGGCTCAAGCCTGTAATCCCAGCACTTTGGGAGGCCAAGGCAGGTGGATCACAAGGTCAGGAGATCGAGACCATCCTGCCTAACATGGTGAAACCCCGTCTGTACTAAAAATTAATACAAAAAACTAGCCGGGCGTAGTGGCAGGCGCCTGTAGTCCCAGCTACTCAGAAGGCTGAGGCAGGAGAATGGCGTGAACCAGGGAGGCAGAGCTTGCAGTGAGCTGAGATTGCGCCACTGCACTCCAGCCTGGGCGACAGAGCGAGACTCCGTCTCAAAAAAAAAAAAAAAAAAAAAAAGATACTGGGCTGACTAAAATAGCAAATGCATCCTGTATTTTGCTTTGAAAATGTCTACAGTAATCTTGCTTGCTTTCTATATGACTTCCAGAGCAATAAATTTGCCAGCTCTTACCAAAGGAAAGTTCCAGTAAGTTTTTCCTGGTTAACAAATTCCCCTTGCAGTGGTCTGGGCAGGGCTTAGACTCACATACAGGTAAATATGTGAGTACACACATAAACACAACACAAATGAAAACATGCATGCTCACATATTTGTAGTCACAAAGTGGCTGGTGTTGTAACAACAAGGAGCTGGAGCAACTAGGGCCTGCTGGGTGGCTCTATCTCAGGTTCTCTCCATGTGGTCTCTGCACATGAGCTATCTTGGGCCTCCTCACAACATGGAGGCTTCAGTAGATTCAGACATCTGACATGGGGGTTCAGCACTCCAGAAATGAGGGTTCTGAGAGAGTTGGCTAGAAGTACTGTGCTCTCTTCTACACAGACACTACTGAGCCACACAGCTACTAAAGACCAGCAGGACTCAAGGGTAGAGAAAATGTCACCCATCTCTCAACAGAAGGAATTTCAAAGTCACACACACAAGAACATACAGTAGGATATATGTTTGCAGCCTTCTTTGGAATTAATGAATCTACTCTCTCAGAAAGAATCTTCTATAGGAAATAATGAATTTCTCAGCAAACAATCAAACTACTTATTCATCTCATGTGTATTAAGTTTTCATGTTTCCTTAGTAAGGTGCAATTGGTATGGTATGGAAGAATGGTATTTAAAGTTAAAATACAACATAAGGGGATAAAGAAAGTAATACATTTCAGGCTGGGAGCGGTGGCTCATGCCTGTAATCACAGCACTTTGGGAGGCTGAGGTGAGCAGATCACTTGAGGTCAGGGATTCGAGACCAGCCTGGCCAACATGGTGAAACCACCACATCTCTACTAAAAATACAAAAATTATCCAGGCTTGGTGGCACATGCCTGTAATCCCAGCTACTTGGGAGGCTGAGGCAGGAGAATGGCTTGAACCTGGAAGGCGGAGGTTGAAGTGAGCCAAGATCATGCCATTGCACTGCAGCCTGGATGACAGAGAGAGACTCCATCTCAAAAATAAAATAAAATAAAATAAAATAAAATAATAATAATAATAATAATACATTTCCGAAGTCTCCAAAGAATGAAAAATTTCAAATGTAGGACTCCTAAAAATTGTTGTAGAGGTCAATCATCACCTAAAACCTCACTAGTTCTGGGGAAGAACACTCAGTGATTAGTGGAAGACCATGTTTCTTGGCCACTTCTTTTCTTTAACCAAAATTTTCAGTGAATGCAGCAAAGGATGCTACCATTCTTTTAAGCACTAATGTGAATGAAACCACAGCCACAGCAATAATCTGAAACCATCCCCAGCAGGTTGACAGGAATTGAATACCAGGTTCTAGACAGAAATATGGTTATAATTAAGCATTCATCAGGCTGCATGCTGGCCCACTTCCATGTTTCTAAACGTCACATAGCACTAGATACCAGCCATTTGCATTCCACTGTCCCTATAAACTGGATCTCTGACATTAGAATTATAAGGCTTTAGTTTAAGGATTGCTTAAGGTGTTCTTCAGACCTGAATTTGGGCAACCAATTTGAAGAGCCACAGAGGAATGGACTCAGCATGAGAATACAGCTTCTTCTTGCACTCATTGATCAGTCAATGATCTTTTCACTTTGGCCCATTCCAAAACCCTGAAAAATCCTAACCCTAAATTCTTTGTGGAGATGGATTAGAGGTTTCCTCCTGTCTCCTCATTCAGTGACTGTACAATTAAATCTCTTACTCTGGTGCAAGCCCCTATCTTGCTGTGTGGACTTGGTGCATGTATTGGGGAATAAACCTACTATGATTACATCTCTCTCAGAGTTGTTGGTTCTTCATACATTTTGCATGGCACATACCACCTGGAATAAAGACCATATTTGTTGGCCTGCTGTGACAAGCAGAATTCTAAGGTGCCTCCCAAAATTCCTCTCCCTGCTGTACAAGTCCTGTATCATCTAGGGCTGTGAAGAGGATCGGCTATCACTCCTGTGATTAGTTTTGATTAGAGGTAACATTTTATTTTTAAAAAGGGAGATTAACCTGGGTGGATCTGACCTAATCAAGTTGTAACCAACCAGTGGGTTTACCTCGCCTGCTGCCTAGACAGAGCCAATTTCTCAAGACAGGGGAGTTGCAATAGAGAAAGAGTAATTTATGCAGAGCCAGCTGTGCTGGAGGCAGGATTTTTATTATCACTCCAATCAGTCTTCCTGAGAATTCAGGGATCAGAATTTTTAAGGACAACTTAGTGGGTAAGGGGAAGCCAGGGATCCTGGAGTACTGATTGGTCTGAGAGGGAATCATAGGGAGTCGGAGCTGTCTTCTTGTGCTGAGTCAGTTCCCAGGTGGGGGCCACAAGATCAGATGAGCCAGTTTATTGAGCTGGCGGTGGCAGCTGATCCATCAAGTGCAGGGGCTGCAAAATATCTCAAGCGCTGATCTTAGGAGCAGCGTAGAGAGGGTTAGAATCTTGTAGCCTCCAGCTGCCTGACTCCTAAATCATGATTTCCAATCTCGTGTGTAATTTCTTAGTTCTACAAAGGCAGTCTAGTCCCCAGGCAAGAAGGTGGTTTGTTTTGGGAAAGGGCTGTTAATAGTTTTTGTTTTGAACTATAAACTATAAACTGGCCAGGCATGGTGGCTCACACCTGTAATCCCAGCATTTTGGGAGGCTGAGGTGGGCAGATCACTTGAGGTCAGGAGTTCAAGACTAGCCTGGTCAACATGGTAAAACCCCATCTCTACTAAAAATACAAAAATTAACTGGGGCCAGGTGGTGGGTCCTGGCTACTCAGGAGGCTGAGGCAGGAGAATCGCTTGAACCCGGGAAGTGGAGGTTGCAATGAGCCAAGATGGAGCCACTGCACTCCAGCCTGGGCAACAGAGCAAGACTCTGTCTGGAAAAACCAACCAACCAACCAACAAACAACAAAAAAACCACTATAAACCAAGTTCCTCCCAAAGTTACTTCAGCCTACACCCAGGAAGGAACACGGACAGCTTAGAGGTTAAAAGCAAGATGGAGTCAGTTAGGTTAGATCTCTTTCACTGTCTCAGTCATAATTTTGCAAAGGCCATTTCAAAGTGACCACTAAAAGGAACTGGGATTGCAGGGTGCAGAGATTCAAACACAGTGCTGGGACCACTCTCTTCTGGATTTGACTCATGCGTGAGAGGAATAAACCTATACATTTTACTTAGCCACCTGCTTTTCGGAATTTGTGGGCAAGCTAGATTTTACCGAATGCAGACTAACCTGCTCCAACTCAAACAAAGAACCAGCTTTTAAAATTGTGGTTTATTATATAGGTTGTAATGTTTTGTCTTCTAGAATCTGCAGACACAAACAACCCATACGCTTCATTCCACAATTCACAGACCGTGGTCATTAGCAAAAAAGGTCAGAGGGAAAATTCATGGGCCTTATCAGAAAATTATTAGCCTGATAGATCAATGCTGTGTTTGAAGTATTCTAATGTAATCAACTGCCTCTGCAAAGTGAACAAAAGGAGGCCATTATGCAAATAAGAACCATTCATTTCAGAGGAAGGAGCTTTGGTTTCCTGGTACAGAGTCAACAAAATGAGGAAGCTGCGAAAGCCCTGGCTCATGTAGTTAACCTTGGGTCACTGTACCCTCCAGCCTCAGCACAGTTAATCCATGAATACTTGCAGTCAACAGCCTCTAAAGGTCACCAGACTCTGAAGTCCAGTTACTATTTGTTACCAAGTTTACAATTCAGAATTTATAGGAAATAAATATGTAGCCTGCATCACTAATGTGCCAAGCTTTGGGACAGGTTTCTTTCTAATTAGATCTCTGAAGGATTTTCCTGAAGGAGTCCCTCATGCTCTTGATTTCATCAACAGGCACTGTGCGGAAGCCCCTCCACCATGATGGTTTTGCTCAAGAAACCTTCATCTTGCAAAAGACAAAATGACAACAAATTCCGTTCCAAGATGCCAATTGGCTTTATTGACATCCTAGAATCAGGCAGCACTATATTCTCTAAAATGGAATATGTGTTCCAATGAACTGAACACAGGAGATTGGCTTTACAGATAGAAAAAGGGCTGAAGAAAGAGAAACAAAGAATAAAAAGTGTATTGGGTGCTTCCAAGTTACTTTCCTTGTAAGCCACTGTGTCAGAGGCATTTGAACCACAGCGACTCCATCTTGAGTGAGGACTAGGAAAACGAGGCTGGGACTTGCTGAGCTGCATTTCCAGAAAGTCAGGCATCCTTAGCTTCTAGATGTTTATTAAGCAGACCCAGACTCGGGAGTGTCTAGATATCCCGATATCTGGAGAACAAAGGCATTCCTAATTTTGCTTTAAAGATAATAATATCGATTCTTGCAAAATATAGTAATTGAGAAAATTAATCCTTTATCACAAACCCTTGTAGCAGAGCTTATCTCTTCATGATCTTTTTTATCCTACATATACAAGTATTGTACCTAGGGTGGACACATTCCTCCTCTTACTTTCGGGTCTGTCCTACTCTGTCTGTGGAGTAGCCGTATTTTCACCACTTTACTTTCTTAATAAACTTGCTTTTACTTTGCACTGCAGACTCACCCTGAATTCTTCCTTACGCGAAATCCAAGAACCCTCTCTTGGGGTCTGGATCAGAATCGCTTTCCTGTAACAACTGGGGCCAGAAAGAAGAAACAATAGAAAAACTGATGAGTTCACATGATGTGACTTCAGATTAAGGATTTAAACACAGGGAACTTCATTATCCTGCCCATTGAAGACTAAACCTGTCCTGTTCAGGAAGTTAGGCTATCTCTCTCCTGGTTCCTCAGAGGGCAGAGAACTGCTCAGTTTGGGTTTGGGTTTGGTAAGCCTGGGTGACCCCACTATGATTTGTCTGGTCTGTTGCGATCGCAGGAGTTTAGTCCAAAATAATGGCCTCAAATTTTGTTGAACAATCTATACGGAAAGCAATATCCACCTCTGAACATTTCACAAAACACATCAGTGTAAAGTGTTGAGAAATCTTTTTAACTTAAAAAAAAAACAAACAAAATCTCAAGATTTCACAATGTTTTTTGATTCTGACATCTCTCCCTCTCCCACCTCCATCCCCTTCACTCAAGGTGCACCTATCAATAGCTTGAAAAACACAAGTGTGGGATAGGCTGTTTTGGATCATAAAGTTCTGCTCAAAGGGTGAATCCATTAGCCACAAGTCACTGGAGCTACTGTCTGCAATGACAAATTTGTTTCCACTAATTGAGAAGCCAGTAAAGGCATCAACTACAGATGTAAAATTTTCTTCATGTACAAGAAGGGGGAAAAAACAGTAACTCCACTGTGGCACTACCACTTTGCACTTGCTATTTATGGGATGGTTTTCTTCACAAGGAAAAAAAAAAGTACAAGTGGGAGCATTGGCAACTGTTAATTACAATGAGATAATGATCATTCGATAAGGAAAGAAATGGATTATGAGTCAAAAAATAAATATTGTGGAATCTGCGTGTAACACAATGTTTATTTTGGCACTTTGACTCTCCCACTAAATGATCTACGGGCAAAATTCAGTTGCAGACCTGCGATCGGGGGCTCCATGCCCCTATGACTTGTGCTGTCTAGATGGTGAGAGACGCTGAGAAGCGACCGCAGGAATCCCATCCTAGAGTGGTGGCCTCCTCTAGAGTGGTGAGACCTGTGACTGACTTATTCTAACCAATGCAGCGGCAGGGATGGCAGGTCCTTGTCTTGATAGAACAGCTGCTTCTGTGGCAGGGATGTGGTACAGCTGCCACAATATCATCATGTCTGTGATATGAGAGATCGAAATAGACACCCCTATATCGACAAACATGGACCCTAAGCTAAAGGGAACGGAGTTACCTATGTCTCAAAGGTTCAGAGCCTGGCTGGTGTGGCAAATTTCCAAATTTACACAGGTACAAAACAAACCACACTCGCTAAGCTCCCTCACAATGGTTGCTATCAGACCCCTCAAAGCTCTGATTTGCAACCCAGACCACTACCATTCTGATAGCTTTACAAACATTCTTTTCTGATAAACAATGGCAGACTTGAAGGCAGCTTCAGCAGCTTATAGAGGCTGTGCACAAACTGTTTTTGTTTCCTGCAGTTCATCTGTTGACATAAAGGGCTAATCCCACCTCATTTTAATGCTGAAACCCTGCCCCAAAGTGAACACGGGATGTATGTTACATACACATTCACCCATTGCACATGCGTTCCACTCTCCTCTTAAATATGTATAGCTTTTCCCCCAAACTTGCAGACCATGTGTGAGTCTATTGTGTAATAAGACCCCATGAGGCATAAAACCAACCCCTTCCTTCCTTCCTCAAAGAGAGAGCACCTTTGCCTCATTCTACGTAGTTCCTGCTGGAGTCTCCTGTGGTTGTGGTTGGGTCGTCTAAATTACTACAAAGAGCAAAAAAGCTCTGACATAAAAATGGTCTCTTATTTTCTTAATCTTTGTGTTTCTCAGGTGCACTGTTGTGAAGAGACCTCAGCATACGTGTCCAGAGCAGTTAGTAAACATTTAGTGAAAATCCATAAAGAATTTGTAAATGCTCTCTCTATAAATCCCTACCTGGACTCTTTCATTTTTTCCCCCAGTTTCCAGTAAGAGTACAAAGTTATGATTTTTACACGAAGATTTGTTTTCATCCCCTATTACTGTACCTTATGACATCCTGGCAAATAATAACAATAAGAAATGGGAACGATAACAGTAATTCTACTTTTGAAACACCTTTTGTCTGTAAACATATATACACTTTCTGTAAGTGTCAAGGGATATATTTAATCATGATACTAATCCCCGAGAACTTTGTGTTTTGTCTCAAAATTCAAATAGACACAGGGCCCTTTGTTTGGACTTAGTTGGTTGCACAACGCTTCCAAAGTTAGCGTGTACTGTGAAGTCAACTGGGATTTTCAAGACATTTTTATGTACACTAAATATGTCTTAACATGATCTTAATGAAAGATGTAATAATTGACTGGCAGATGGAAGAGGCAGCAAGAAAATTGTAGTTTAGTAAAATAAAGTTTCACATTACTATATCAATATTAGGTTTTACACTAAAAGGAAAGCTAAATTTAGGAGCTTTATTACATACTAGCATTGACATGAGTCATTTCCTCTCCATTAAAGCAACCAAAACCCCAACTTCCTATCTTAGGCTATAATCTGCACCAGCCAGCAGATTTCAGATCTCAATTCTGCATGTTTGAGTTCCTCAAAAAAAAAAAAAAAAAAAAAAAAAAATCTCAGTTTAAGTTTGTACTTTCAGTGGAATTTTAAATAATTCCAAGAATGAGAATAGCTAACATCAAGCATCAGATATTAGTCAGAACAGTTTCACTTTGAGCAATAAAATTAGATCTCAGTTGAAATTTGCAGATACTGGGAAAGGAAAAGTGAAGTACTTACATCTTCACAAAATAAAATGACTTGTATCAAATTGAGCACACCCACTAACACAGACACTCACAGACACACACAGCGAGACAACACAGAGATACAGATGACACACACACACTCACAGACATATACAGCGAGACAACACAGAGATAGAGGACACACAGACACACTCGCAGACACACATGGAGATAGAGACAGAGGCACAGACACAGACATACACCAACACAGACACAAGCAGAAACACAGACACAGACACACACACACACACAAGGAGATGCACAGAGACACAGACACACACACACACACCAACACAGACACAAGCAGATGCAGAGACACAGACACACACACATAGACACACACCAACACAGACACACAGAGACACAGGCACATATACACACACCAACATAGACACAAGCAGATACAGAGACACACACACACACGCACAGACACCAACACAGATACAAGGAGATACACAGAGACACAGGCACACACACACACAGACACACCAACACAGGCACAAGCAGATACACAGAGACACAGGCATACACAGAGACACACCAACACAGACACATGCAGATTGTGTGAGACAGACACACGTGCACACAAACTTCACCAACACGCACACACCCAATAATGATAAATGCTTCTCCACTTCTGTGTTTTGGTGACACTAATAATCTTGTACTTTCTTTGACACAGTAGCCCATTTTCTGTTCAAAAGCAACAGAAAAATATGTCATCTAGTTTACTGTTTTTAGAATTGTAGGATATTTTTGTTTCAGCCTCAATAAAATTACTTCTAAGTCCTTCTAAGTTTTGAGTGTCTTCTAATTTCTTCATTCCTCTAATGAAAGGTCCGGTCATGTGTAGATATCACCCCTGTGGGGACCCCCTCACATTGCACCTGACCTTGGCTGTGCTGCTGTCTGCCTGTGGATGGAGTGGATTGACAACGGTGGCATTCACATGATGAGAAAAATGCTCCTGGGGCCGCGCTCCTGGCGAATGGCTTTGGAAATCAACAAAACACAGTCCCACTTTTGTCTGTGACCAGTCTTCATGGCATATCAGTTAGAGTGGTGTGCTAAATTTTGAGACCAGGTGGACAGAAGTGAGTTAAATGTTTTCAAGTGATCAATAAAGACAAATACCTTTATTGGGTACTCATCTCAAGCTCTAGGAATGGAAAAATACAAAGATGCGTAGTCCGTATTACTCCTTCAAGGAGTTTAATAATTAATTGAACATAAAATTCCTATATATGTGTATAAATACATATATTTTAATACCTACACAATGAAAACATCATTGTGTAGCAAGTAGTCCTGTAGGAAGGTTAAAACCTTGTTTTCATCCTTATCTTATTTTTCTCACCTCTCGTAATCCAAACTATTGAAGGACATTGTTGAAGCGAGTAACAAGGACTAAAGGACCAGAAGGTCACAAAAAAGAATGCATCACTGAAGAAATAAAAAACTAAATAAATGACTCAACTTTTTCTCACAAAGCTAGTCAATAAATTCAATGTTTTAAATGTGACCTGTGGACACCATTTAGACAGGTTTAGAAATATTGTATGTTGTTGAATCTGAGTCTGAATGGATTCAATGACCTTGTGAAGGAAACAATGACCCCTATTTTGTCTAGTGAAACATGTAGCATTTACAAGCAGAACCTACTCCAATTAAAATAGAACTAAAATTAAATTACTTAAGCATCCAGCATACTAAAAAAACTAAAATCATCATTTTACTCACAAGGTAGAATCAACCTAAGTTATTTATCTCTGTATCCAATCCTTAAATACTTCGTTAAACTTGCAAAATTTTAAAGTTGAATAAAATTCATCAACGTTTATCTGAGTGTGTTTCTGCTGTGTGCACATATAATTTAATATAATAAAATACTTATTGGATTTTGACATTAATTTTCATCTTAAATGAAAGCTGCTGCTATTTCTTAAATTAGGTAGACAACAGAGCAGTCTCTATTATAGTACAGTTAAAATCCTCCTCTGTGAGCCTATCTTCTGTCCTGGAATACACATTCATTCACTAAAGGTTAATGAGCACCTACTAGTCCACCAACTTGTGTTAAATCAATTTAAAAAAATTCCAGCCCTCATGGAGGATACTTTTTACATAATTAATTATAAATATAACATGTAAGTAAATTATATGGTATTCCAGAAAATGATAAGTGCTAAGAAAAAAATAGGGTAAGAGGTATCTTAAATGTTGGGTTTTGAGGGGTTGGGTTGGAATTTTGAGAAGAAAAAAAAACTGCTTAGTGTAGACCTCTAGTTGAGGAGATAACTTTTGGTAAAATCTCCATCATTAAGAAGGCCCTAGACTTTGGACTTCTCAGCCTCCATATGTATAAAAAAAATTCCTTTTTAAAATAACTTTCTCAGTTTCAGATATTCTGTCATAAACAACGGGAAATGGACTAAGACACTGGAGCCCAGGTAACATGACGCAGGGGGAGATGGTGATGTCTTGAGTGAGAGCAAAGACCTTCAGATGAGATCCAGTGCGTTCAGGGTGGTATGGCCACAGACAGAACAAAGACCTTCAGGTTGTAAGTGCTCTCATTCTGCATCTTGAAGGAAAAGACAAGTGTCCTTCAATAGTTTGGATTACAAGAGTTGAGAAAAATAAGATAAGGATGAAAATAAGGTTTTAACCTTCCTACAGGACGAATTGAACAGAATTTTGATCAATGGAGAGTGTGTGATGAGTACTACAGTAGGATCAGATAGAAGGGAGAGGACAACACCTCCGTTTTAGAAGTAATAAGCTGGGTATTTATCAGAAAACCAGGCAGGCAAACGGACTAGAGTTAATGAGCACGTCCAGCTCCAGGAAAGAAATCTGAGCTGGGGATGAAATCTGAGCACCATTTGCATGTGGATGTTCTTAAAGAATGCATGAGGCTAGATGTGATCTTGAGGGGCCAGAGCATAGATGGCAAAGGGCTGAAGAAGGCTCACACCTTGAGGCACCAGCAAGCAAGAGGCTGGGAACAAGAGCAGGAAAAAGCAGAGAAGCCCAAGGAGATGGGATCAATGAGTTCAGGGGAAAAGGGGCAGACCTGGGCAGTGTCCTAGAAGCTAAATGAGAGCAGTGCTTCAGCTAAGAAGGCATAGCAACTCCTTTATATGAGGAGTGAGAATTAGCCATGAAACTTCACAGGCAGGTCATCGTTGGTGCACTGGACAAGAGCAGTTTGGTTGGAGTATGGAGGTAGGGTGAGATGAAAGCCTCATTGGAGAAGGTTCAACAAGAATAGAGTGAGAGGAACTTCACACAAAAGGTATGGGTGATTATTTGAATGAATTATATTGCAAAAGGGAGCATAATCTTAGCTGGTAGAAAAAGTAAATCAGAGGAGCTATGTTTGCAAAGATGGTATGATAGCATGTTTGCATGCTGGAGGGAATGATAGGGGAGAGAGAGAAAATGAAATAATGTGGGAATAAAAAAGAAGGGTTCCAGGAGCTGTGTCTTTGCAAAGGCAAGAGAGGATGACCTCTACGAACAAGTGATTGGTTTTGCACAGGGGGAGGGATAATGTATCTATAGGTATAGATGGGAACTTAGAATGGATGGTTACTGGTGGTGCTACGTGGGAAGCTATGAAGACACAGAAGTTCTCTTCTGATTTCTTCAATTTTCCCAGTAAACAGAAGGCACAGTCATCATCTGAAGGTGATGAGGCCGTGGGAGGTAGTGAAGATTTCTGTAGAGGAGAGCTATTAAGTGAGAGTCTAGAGAACAGATAAGGGAAGTGGAATATAGAATTATAACGTTATTACAATGATTGCCAGGCCACCATCAGGATGCAGTTGTGTTGTGATTGTCAATGTTTGAAATGACAACACTCAGGTTGGTTGTGTGATTTCCTGTCAGTGTCAAAGGCACAGCTGCCGTTGCTCTACATAAAGACTGTGGCTTGACCAGGTATCCCAAAACTAGACAGGGACAAAGGAATGGAGGGTTTAGCCAGCCAGAGATCACTGGGCATTGTGTAAATTCTTTTACTATGGAAGATAGTTGTTGAAACAAACAGAAAAAAGACAATGTGGAGGACACAGAGAAGGTAGAAGAAAACTTAAACAAACCCACCTTCTTCTAGACTGTCGAATATACACACACCTACTCAGTCTGTAAGCATGAATGAAGGAGATTATATGGCAGTCTGTAAAAGGGAACACTGGAAATAGAATATTAAACATCACTGCTTTTCCTGCTACAGGTGATTAGTCAGGGGCCATCCTTCTTAGGCCTGTGGCTGCAGAAACCACTGCTGATGAAACACCCTTATGCTACTATTTTAGAACAAACCATTCTCTGGTTTTACTTCTCTCAGGGGAAGACTGAACACCCGTGTTAATTATTATGCAGAGCAGTTTGGCTCTTGTTTCTCTAAAGAAGTCTAAATCACCTATGTCAGGAAACCTTGCCTGCCATTATGAGACCAACCAATTAAGGCATTTTCCTTAGGCCTATAAATCCAAACTCAAAGAGTAGTTTTTAAAATAACCATTTCCTTTTCTTATTATAGTATCACTTAGAATTATCTACTCTATTGTAATTAATTGGTCAATTGTCTGCTTCTCTCATTAGAAATCAAGGTCTTTGAAGTCAGGTACTGTGGTTTGTTCACTATTGTTTGCCTAATATGAAACTATTTGGACCCTATCAAACATCGTTCATAAAAATTAATGCCAGGTGGGTTACAGATCTAAATGTGAAAGGAATACAAAACACTTCTAAAGGAAAAGACAAGGGTATCTCCGTGCCCTTGGGATGAGTAAAGAATTCTTTAAAAGGACTCCAAAAGCACTGAGTATGAGGGAAAAATTCACAAATTGGACTTCATTGCAATTAAGAACTTTCATCAAAATACACCATTAATAGACTGAAAAAGCAAGCTACAGACTGGGTAGAGATATTTGTAATCCACGTGGCACAAAAGAATTGCATGCAGAATATGTAAAGCAGTTCTTAAAATTAAGTATTTATTTATTTTTGAAACAAAGTCTCACTCTCCCGCCCATGCCGGAGTGCAGTGGTATGTGATCATGGCCCACTGCGGCCTTGAACTTTCAGGCTTAGGTGATCCTCTTGCCTCAGACTCCTGAGTAGCTGGGACTGCAGGTAGATGTCACCACACCGAGTTAATTTAAACTTTTGTTGTTGTTGTTTTGATGGGGTCGGTCTCACTATGTTGCCTAGGCTGGTCTCCAACTTCTGGCCTCAAGCGATCCACCCACCTCAGCCTCCCAAAGCACTATAATGACAGGTGTAAGCCACTGCGCCCAGCCAAAGTTCTAAAAATTATTAAATATGACAGTCAATGCTATAGAAATAAAACCTGGAGAACTGAACAGGTGCTTTACAAAAAAGGCTACATGAGTCACCAATAAGCATATAAAAAATGTCCCACATCACTAGTCATGGGGAAATGCAGCTTAAAATCAAATGAGACCTCATTGCTCCCCAACCAGAACTGCTGAGTCAACATTGGTGAGCAATGGCAGGCCGTGGCAATGACAGGGGCCGCCTGAATGCTCAACCCTTGTTGGTGGAAACCTTGGCATGTGTAGCCCATGTGTGGTGGTTTCTCCTAAAATGGGACATACACATTCGGTATCACCCACATTTCCACTCCTAGGAATCTATCCAACCAAAATGAGGACAAGTGTTCATAAAAAGATGTGTACAAGAATGTTTATGGTGACACTCTTCATAACAACTCCGAAGGCAAAACAACCAATGCATATGAAGAGCAGAACGAGGACACTGTGGTGCATTCAAAAAACAAGATTGTTTCATTGCGATTTTCAAATGCAAAACTCATCTCAAGTGTGAAAGACGGAATAGTGGATGCTTTTGGTGAGGGTAGTGACTTCTAGGGCATGGGAGTATCTGAGCTGCTAGCAATGTTTTATTTCCTGGTCATGGCAGTGGTGACACAGAGGTGATTGCTTTGTGAAAATTATCATTTTTTGCACTTCAATTGTGCATATTCTTATGATGTGTGCACTTTTCAGTGTGTAAGCTACACCAATAAAATTCCCTCAAATTATGTGTTCAGTGGTAATTAAAATTCTGCAATTATTTTTTAAATAAAGAAATGACAATACTGTGAGCAATCAGTTGAGTTGGATGTTATCATGAACAAGAAAGAGGAGAAGCTTCACCCTTGATCAAGAGTTTCCAACATTCTCTATGCCTCTGGAGCCATAGAGTGGGAATTTCAGTGCTGATTAAATTCCAGTCTGATTTTTTTTTGCATTGTCATAGCTTTGTTACTTAATGAGGTATTGTAAGAATTCCTGCTATTCCTTCCATGGTTGTTATAAATGTTGACATTAAAAGACCTTATTGCAATAGTAAAATGAGCTCTACAACCAATGGTTGCCTGTGAGTGATAATGGGGCCATGACCTTATAGGATTTACCAGTCACTGCACACCTAAGTCATTAATTTGCTAAACACTTTGTGCAATCCCAACTATGAAAAGTACTATACGAGCCAAAATTCTATTCTCTCCTATACGATGATTAATCATGTTTGATTAATACGATGTAAAATATCATTAAATAATTTAAATGCAGGTGCATGGATTAAAGTTACTCTAGAGCTTTCATGACATCAACAGTGACAAATTATGTGCAAGTTTAAGTTTGCACAAGTGATTAATCTGCTATTCTGCAGTTAAAATTAATTATTATTAATTATTATGCTCATATTTACATGACTGGTTCAAAATATGGCCATTAATGCACTGCATTTTCACAAAGTTATTTTTAAATGTAATCTTACATACTTAATGTACGGCAAGTACAAAGAGCAAGAGAGAATTGGCTCAAAATTGTAATTTTAGCTGTTTTAGCTTCAGGTTTAGCTGACTAATTTTTATTAAACAGCCGAGGTTATTAAAATATTTTATTTGTTCTGTCTGTACAGAGGCTAAATAGGATTGTATTATTCTTATAGTTAAGTGGACTGGTATATATGTTTCCAAATTTTATCTGTAACTATTGGCATGATTTTCTTTTGAACAATATATTCGGATGTTCTCAACCTGTCTCATGAGTACACTTACCCAAGAAGTGAATGAAGAGGAGGCTTTTAGATGCCACAGAAGCAGAGTAGGAAGATTCTAGAATGAGAGAGCTGAGACCCACATTAGACATGAGGTGTTGCCTCTGTTGCCCTGCTGGGAGGGTTTACTTGAACCACTTCAGACAGATATTTATCTTACTCTCCAGAGATAGAGATTTTATAGCTTGTGTACAATATGCGATGGTTAGCCACTCTTTGTTGTTTGAGAGTATGAGTGTATAATAAAAATAACCTTTAAATAGTAGCCACAGTACCAAGAACTTCCATTTATTCGGTACCTATTTGGTTCTAGACCTTGTTTTGGCTCTTCACATTTATTGTCTTGTTGAGATTTTAGAAAACATTTTCTTTATTACAGTTGACAATACAGAAGCTTGTTTGTCTAAGGCCGTTAATGACACAGGTCTGACTCCTGGTGAAGGACTTTTGGAAAATCAAATCTACACAGGGAAGAGCTAAGTGATGTGTATAAGACACAATCTATTCATGTAAATGTCCCCTCACTTTTCTTTCTGGAGGTCAAACTATCATATGTTTGTTGCTTACCTTGAGAGGCCTATTGACCAGGATATACAGTAAATGTCTTTTAGCTATTTTTGTTAAAAGTAATGCTTCAACTGGTTCCCATTCATACTTGCTAGTATTTATCCCTGCAGTGATACTCAGATATACATGGAAGGTGAAGGGGAATGAAATTGAATATATAGTGTGATGGTTAATAGTGAGTGTCAACTTGATTGGATTGAAGGATGCAAAGTATTAATCCTGGGTGTGTCTGTGAGGGTGTTACCAAAGATTAACATTTGAGTCAGTGGGCTGGGGAAGGCAGGCCCACCCTTAATATGGTGGGCACCATCTAATCAGCTTCCAGTGAATATAAAGCAGGCAGAAAAACATGAAAAGGTGAGACTGGCCTAGCCTCCCAGCCTACATATTTCTCCCATGCTGGATGCTTCTTGCCCTCTAACATTGGATTCCAAGTTCTTCAGTTTTGGAACTCAGACTGGCTCTCCTTGCTCCTCAGCTGGCAGACAGCCTATTGTGAGACCTTGTGATCATGTAAGTTAATACTTAATAAATTCCCCTTTATATAAAATAGAATATATTTTATTTATATATATATTAGTTCTGTCCCTCTAGAGAACCCTGACTAACACATACAGTGAGACATTTATTAAAACTGAGGTCCAGAGAGGCAGATAAAACTGAGGTTCAGAGAGCCTACAGGCATGTAGGGGAATAATTAATAAACGAGATAAATTGCATTTTCCCTCTTTATTTTCTTTGTGTTTTAGTTTGGTTAATTTTTATTGACTTATCACATAATTTCACTGACTTTTTTCCCTTGGCTGTATTGAATTTATGATGGGTTTGTTAAATGCATGGGATTTTTGTTTGTGTATTTATTGTTCTATTTGACTCTTTCTTAGAATTTTCATCTCTCTGCTGAAATTCTCCATCTTTTCACATGTTGTCCACCTTTTCCACTACAGCCTTTAACACATCTCTGTCTCACAGTTACATTTGGGCCACCTCTGAGTCTGGTTCTATCGATCATTTTGTCCCTTGAACATGCTTTGTTTTCCCTCACTTGCTTTTTTTGCTCAACACTTTTAATTAATGTCAGATATTATGTGTAGAACAGTAAGATGGAGATTATTATTATTTATTCTTTGACATGAGTGTCAGGGAGGAAATATACTGTCTGCTCAACCCTCATAAATTCATAGCTGGGACCCTTGTAACAAAACAAAGTTTAACAAAATAAAGATAAGCAGGTTTATTAATGTATACAGCACACATCACACTGGAGAAACCCCAGTGAAAGGTAACTTGAGGCAACAGCTTAGAACTCTGGCTCATATAACATCTTCAACCAAGAATAATAAATTTCTAGAGAAATGAAAGGACAAAGAAAAACAGCCTTAGGCTTCCAAAGGCAGAAAATTGTGGGAAGGTGAATAGATGGGAAGAAACCCCTGGGGTAAGGTTTATTTGCGGATTCTCTGGTGCCATCTCTGGTTAATAATAGTTGTCTCCAGTAAAGAGGAATTTATATCCTGTCTTTAGGTAGAAAGCAAAGGACAGAGACTCTCTCTGTCTCTTCCTTCGTCTGCTGCTTCTTAATTGCCTTTAGCTCAAAAATACTTTTTATGTCAAAAGGCATATTTTGGAATGACATACTCTGGTTTCCTTCATGGGCACAGCCTTTCGGCTAGGCTGTTAGTGTGGGAGTTGCATCAATCTAGCCTGCAGTTGAGCTGTGTTTGGGTCTTTTGTTGTTTCTATGGTTACCCTTCTTTTAGCACTGGCTTTGATTTCCACCGGAATCTTCCTGGGTTTACGGTGAGACTAGAGTGATGGGGTGTTTGTCTCCAGGTCCCGCTGCACCCTCAGCTTCCAGCCTTCCCTGGGTGAACCTTCCTTGCCACGCTGGTCCTCCCCTCCTGGCCCACAGCTTACTTCTTGCTCCAAGTTTGCTGGTCAAGACATGGGGGTGAGCAGAGAAGGGAGCTCTCCATGGTTCTGCTTCAGCCTCAGTCTTAGGCAGGCCCTAAGTGTGTCTGGGTCTCAATGATTCTACCCAAGCCCTCTGACCTCTTCATGGCAGCCAAACACCACTCTGCATCTTTGGTGCCTCTCGTCCAAGAGGGAAGTTCCTGTGCCTCTCAGTGCAATGTCTTGGTAAATGGGATTTGCCTGGGATGGCTTCCTGCTCTCCCCTGGAGCTAGTGTCTTTTTTCTGTATCCTTCCTCCACCCTCTTTGGGTCTACACCTGTGCCACGAGGTGCCAGGTCTTGCCTCCCACCCCCCAGCAGCTTTAGGCACTGCACCTTGTGCCTTCCCCACAGGCACAACTCTGTCCCTCTGTCTTGCCAGCTCCCCCAAAGGAGGGCCATGGAGAAGCACCTGCACAGGGTTTGGGACTCCTCTTGTGTCTGTGGCTCTGAGGAGTTCTGTGCTCTCACACAGACCCACACTTAAGCATTAACACTACGTTGAGGATTTTACTGTTCTGCTTACCTGCTTCTATGACCCAGCCTTCCCCTCCTGTGCCCAGGCACTGTGCTGCATCCCTGTTCTCTAGGAGTTGCCCGTCCTTCCTTAGATTTCAGGTTTCTTGGTTTTCTTGCCATCTCAGCTCTCAGATGAGCTCAAGAAAAATTATGATTTTATAGGTTACTTGTTATTTTTTTTTCTTATTTTAAGGTGGGAGCAATGTTTTTGCACCTTTGTATATCCTAGACAGAAGTGGAATTTATGATAAACAGCATTTTAACTTTGACTTCTCACCCAAAAGCATCTGCTATTTTCTCTCTTCTCTGCCTAGTTCCTAAAGGTGTTCTAACTGAACACAGTCATCTGTTAGAAAAGTTTCCACCTTACCCACCCTGTGCAGTCTGGAGCTGGTCTTTCTACCCTAGGACTAGAAATCTGTGTTAGTGTGACCCTTGAATTCCTGATCACTCATCATCCTGCAGCCTTAATTCCTTTTAAAAAATTTTTAGCACATACGTGCAGTTTTACATAAATCTATGCATGTGATCATAATATGTAATGATTTTTTTCAAAAAGCTATAATTTACATTTCAATTGCCAATGTATGAGAATATCCACTTACTGTATCTCTGCTAGCAATAACAGTTACTTTTTTTCCTGTGTATAAAATGATAGCCCATTGTTACTATAATCTGCTTGTCTTTATTGTAAGCTTGAACATAATGTCATAAATTTGCTGCCATTTAGCTGTGCACTTCTGTGAATTGCCTTTTCATACTGTTTGCCCATTTTTCTATTGGACTATTTGTCCCCTTCAGGTGAATCTCTCAGATCTTCTTATGATTACATATTAGCAATTTCCCCTCAAATAACTGTTGTTCTATTTACTTCTTTGTGATACATTTTATCACACAACTATTTTATTTTTGTGAGCTGGATAATGCGCATCGTTTTGTTTTTTTTTTTTTTTTTTTTTATATAGCTTCTGAGATTCCAACCTTTGTTAAATGGGATTCTCAAGCCTTTAGCTTAAACTTTTTGTTACCTAGAGTTGTACAAAGTGCACAAAAATACAGGCAGCTTTAAAGATGCATAAAAGTCAATGGAATGAAGGTAACTCACAGATGGAGTACGGGACCCTGGCCATCCTGCAGAGTTGAGGTTGAGCTGAGTGTACATGGATTCCCTCATCACGTACATATGTACAGGGAATGGTTGCAGCAAACACGTATTGTCAGAATCCAGGGAGCTCCAACGTAGATCTAATGAGGTAGTTTCTTAATCAACTGCCAAAAGCAGGGAGGTGAGCTTTCAGGGCCATCTGAATTTGTCTCTGCTCACTTAGGCTTTATTCAAAAACTGTGTTATTTTATTTTTTTGAAATGGAGCCTGGCTCTGTCTCCCAGGCTGGAGTGCAGTGGTGTGATCTTGGCTCACTGCAACCTCTGCCTCCTGGGTTCAAGAGATTCTCCTGCCTCAGCAGGAGATTACAGGCACCCGCCACCACTCCCAGCTAATTTTTGTAGTTTTAGTAGAGATGGAGTTCCACCACATTGGCCAGGCTGGTCTCAGGCGATCCACCTGCCTCGGCCTCCCAAAGTGCTGGGATTACAGGCGTGAGCCACTGTGCCTGGCCTATTTTATTTTTTTAATTCAAGTGTTTAATCACTTGGAATTTATTTTTATAAGAAGCGAAATAGCATTCAAATTGCATCTTTTTCCAGATGTGCAGCTATTTTTGCCAATTCTGTTTATTAAAAGGCCTAACCATTTCTCACTAAATAGAAATGCTATCTTCATTATATATTCATGTCTCATATCACCTATTTAAATATCTCCCAGCCAATGCCACATTAATTTTACTGTAATGGCTCTATAGTTTTTCCTATATCTGGTAAGTCAAATCACTTCCTTCCTAGGCTTCTATTTAAAATGTTCCTGGGTATTCTTTGACATTTATTTTCTCATATAAATTTTATGGTCATATAATTCAAGTGAAGCTTAATACAATAATTATCATTGTATATTACACTTGAAAAGTTTCACACTTTTATATCAAAGACTTCTCACACTAGAATATTCTCTGTCTTTCCATTTATTCATATAATATGTTATATTCCTCAATAAGATATTCTATCGTTTTTAATAAAGGTTGTTTCTATCTGGTGAATTTCATTCCTTAATACCTTATGTTTTTCTCATTATTATGGGAATTTTTTCTTATTTTTATTTGTTTTTATTATTAAACTAGAAAAAAACCTAATGCCTTTTACATATTTATCTTATATCCATCTGCCTTACCTAGCTCTTCTGTTAATTCTAATTGTTTATATTGTGTTTTCTGGGTTTTTCTAGTTATAAAATAATGTCATAAAAAGAGACAATTTTATCTTTTGCAAACATTGTCCCACTTATTAAACTCTGTGTCTAATTACGATAAATAGATCTTTGAAGAAAATAATGTTATAATGGTAATAGTAGTAATCCATGTCTAATTTATGATTTTAATCAAACTAGAGTTTGCACTTTATCATTTAGAAGAATAATTCCACTTGTTTTATAGAAATAGTCATTATTTTGCCCAAGCAATTCAAATCTACTTCTTTTATGTAAACTGAAAATTTTACATAAGAATGGCTAACCAGGATTTTATTAAATATCTTTTTAACACTTTGTGTTAATTTTCTTTTTTAGGCTTGGATAATGGATCCAACGTGACCAAGGAGTGACTCATCTTTCTGCCTACTCCATGCCCACACCCATCCAGCTGAATGCGGCTGGGGGAAAATAAATAGACCTTAGGTAGCTCTGAAAGCTGTCCACCAATCAAACTATACTTCCATAGCCTTTTCCTCTCCCACTCCTCTTCCCAGAAACTTCCTACGCTTTTCCACATCCCTACCCTTGGTCGATGATGTCACCTTCTGTTCCGCATCTGAAGAAACTGCAGGCTGATCACCTGTGCTCCTCTCCACCCTCTCCAGCCACTGTCAGCAAGGTTGCCTCCCCTGTGACCTGTGCGTACCCCTCCTCCCACTTGCTCAGGGACAGTGCTCTCAGCATGCCTTTCTCTTGCCCTGAGTAATCAATCTTCCCCATGGATATACAAACGTGCTGCTGTTTCTCTCCAAGGGCTGAAAAATAAAACCCCCTCTTTATCTTACTTTTCTGCCCCATTTTCCTCCCTTTCTTACAGAAGAAACCCTCCAAGCTGTCAGCGTTTACTTTCTCCATTTCCTGCCTTCCCATTCTCTCTTTTTTTTTTGAGACACAGTCTCGCTCTGTTGCCCAGGCTGGAGTGCAGTGGCCCAATCTCGGCTTATTGCAACCTCCACCTCCTGGGTTCAAGCAATTATTCTGCCTCAACCTGCTGAGTAGCTGGGATTACAGGCATGCACCACCAAGCCTGGCTAATTTTTTGTATTTTTAGCAAAGACAGGGTTTCACCATGTTGACCAGGCTGGTCTGGAACTCCTGACCTCAAGTGATCCACCTGGCTCAGCCTCCTAAAGTGCTGGGATTACAGGTGTGCTCCACCGTGCCCGGCCCCATTCTCTATTGAGCTCCTGCTGAATAGGTTTCTGGCCTCTAGAGTTGCACTAAAACAATCCTTAATTTTGGAATTTCTCCTTGGGCATCTTCCTTTTCTATTCAAACTCCCTTAGAGATCTCATGTAATTTTACAGTTTTAAGCAATAACTCTATACTAGAGACTCCCAAATGTTTATTTCCAGACAAGACCTCTCCCCATCAACTCAAGTCCCATACATCTAATGCTCTATTTGATGCCATTTGGATGTCTAGTAGGCATGACAATCTTGATGTCTTCAAATCAGTTTCTGATCTCTCCCCATGTTTACCCATACTTGTTCATCCATCAGTCTTCCAGTCTCTCTTTATGATTCTTCTTTATGTAGATTTCTTCTCAAGCTCCAGTTCTTGAAGTCTTTCTTACCATTTCTTCTCCTCACATCACAAATTCATCCATTAAAATATCCTCTTGATTTTGTCTTAAAAATATATCACATCATTTCTCACCATCTTTACCATCACCACCTTAACCCAAGGTGCCAGGATCCTTGTCTGGATAATTGCAAAATTATCCTGATTTTTCCCCCTCCAATACAGCAGCAAGAGTAATCTGTTGAATGGGAGGCCAAGGAATGGCCACTCTGGCTTCCTAAAAGGCAGGCTCACTACTGCCCAGGTGTCCTGCATGGTCTGGTACCCTGGCCTCTCTGTTGAGCTCTTCTGTGCTTTCTCCTGGGTTTGTTTTGATCCAGCACATGGTCTTTCTCCTGTGGAGTCAGCTGTGTCTTCTCCCTCTGCCTGGAATGGTCTCCCCACCATGCCCCCAGCCCCGCATTTCCACATAGCCAATGCTTTCTCATCTGTTTCAAGTTTTCAGTCATCACCTGAGTGATCTCAATTCCCTAACACACTATCTACCTACATTTTTGTTTTGTTTTTTCTTGAGACAGTTTCTCGCTCTGTCGCCCAGGCTGGAGTGCAATGGTGAGATCTCGGCTCACTGCAACCTCTGCCTCCCAAGTTCAAGCAATTCTCCTACCTCAGCCTCCTCAGAAGCTGAGATTACAGGCGCCTGCCACCACTCCTGGCTAATTTTTTGTATTTTTAATAGAGATGGGGTTTCAGCATGTTGGCCAGGCTGATCTCAAACTCCTGAACTCAGGTGATCTGCCCGCCTCGGCCTCCCAAAGTGCTGGGATTACAGGCGTGAGCCACCGTGCCTGGCCTCTGCCTACATTCTTTATTTCAGCTTTCATCCATTTCACTTATCACCACTTAACATATTAGGTATGTGTTTTCTTCTTAGTTTGTTTCTTGTCTCTCTCTTCACACTAGAGTGGAAGCTCCATGAAGGGTGGTAGAGACTTCTGTTTTTTGTTCTATTTCTGCATTTCTGACACAGATAAAAGTATATGGAACATATTAGGTGCTCAACAACACCAACATAAACTAATAAAATCAGATAAATAAAGGAAAATACTGCTGAAATAAAATTCCTATTACTTAATAAATTTTTCATCTGTATTCATAAACCAGATCTGGGTACAATTTTCCTTTATTGTTCTATATCAGATTTTTTAAAGAGCTATATTGCCTTTGTCAAATGAATTGGGGAGGCCTTTCATCTTTTTTTCTAAGGCCTGGAATAATTTAACTTTGAAAAGCTCTCTTTCTTAAAGGTTATATAAAATTCATGTTACATAAACCTCAGCTGGGAACCCATCTGTTCTCAGTGACTTTTTCAATGGTAGATTTTTAAGTGTCTTTTTCTAAACTCTCTTATGGTAACTGATGTATTTAAGTTTCCCCTTTCTTCTTGGGTGAATTTTGGCAACACATAGTTTGCTGGGAAATCATCCATTTCCTCTAAACTTTCAAATGTCTTGTCAGAAAGTTTCATATATATTTTTATGACTGCTTTAATCACTTCTATATGTATGGTTATTCCTTGTTTCTCTCTCATAATTTGGTTTATTTTTGCCTTCTCTCTTTTTCCTTTAAAGAAGTTCATGAGGCATTAATATAATTAAATTAACTTTGATTAGGATGGCCACTATGAAAAAATAAGTATAACTGGGATGTTTTGGGTACATACCCGAAAGAAGTGGGGTCTTCAAGGGAAATTTGTACCTGGTGTTGATGGCAGCAATATTCATAATAGCTAAAATGTGGAATGTCTGTCAACCAATGAACAGATAGGGAAAATGCAGTCAATACATGCAATGGAATATTATTCAATCTGAAAAAAGAAGGAAATTCTGACAGAGGCTACAATATGGATGAGCCTTGAGGACGTTATGCTGAGTGAAATAAGCGTAATGTATAAGTATAAACACTGTAAGACTTCACTTACCTGAGTTTCCTAGAGTACTCAGATTCATAGAGACAGAAAGAAGAATGGTGTTTGCCAGGGCCTGAGAGTGGAGGGGGTGGGGAGTTGTGTGATGAAGTTTAGAGCTTCGGTTTTACAAGATGAATCTCTGAGAGAAATGGTGATGATGGCTTCAGAATAGTGGGAATGTACTTAACGCCACTAACAGACTGACGGTGCACTTGAAAATGGTTAGGATGTTTTATGGCATTTGTATTGTCCACAATAAAATATTGAAAAAATCATTACTTTGATATAAGAATTATAGTTGAATTTTTAAATTTTTGCTACCTTTTTGTTTTTTAGTTTTTAATATCAATTTACATTTCTTATTCGCTTTTTGTTGGAATTTTTTATACTCTTAGGATGAGGACAAACTCCCTTTGATTTTTTAGCTTCGTTGAAAATAAAGATGATATTTTATGTGATTTTTTTTCCCCCTCTCGGGGGACTGCTTTCACTTTGTTCTACAGTTTTAGATAGGAAGAGTATTCTTCTTCATGACTTTTTACAAAGTTGTAATTTTTCTTTTGATTATATCTTTGAATTGAGTCATTTATTTGGGAATGTATTTCTTAGTTCCCAAGAGATTTTACTTTTCAGCCCCTTTATATTATTATATCAGTTTATGTTCACAGAATAAGCTCAACAAAATTTTTATTTAAAAAATGTACTTATGTATTTTCATTGTATATATTTAAGGTGCACAACATAATGTTTTCATATATATATACACACACATATATATGTGTGTGTATATATGTATACATATGAAAACAAGTGATTACTACAGTGAAGTATTCTATGTATTATCTTTGGTAGTTACCTTGCGTGTGTGTCTACGTAGTGAGAGTGAAACGAGAAAGGTTCCCTTGTGCCCTTTGCAGGGCGTGTGCCCGGAGGTGTGACTCGCTTCTTCAGGCCCCCGCTGCTCAGACTTCTAGGGGAGCATACAGATGGGGCAGGCTGTGGGGCTCCGAGCCCAGGGCAGTGTCTAGGTGTGGATGTTTACAGCTCCTGAAGCCCCAGCGGGCGTGTGTTACAGGGTGCTCTTTTAGTTTTGCTACCTACAGGCTGGTGTTAACCAGCTCAATTAGACCCTCTATCTTGTTGCAAAGACAGAGGACTTTCTGTATCCCGGGTTCTTATCTTGGTGTACCAGAAGGATCGGATCACACCTGGGCTTGGAGAATGAGTGCAGGGTTTCATTGAGAGGAAGTAGCTCTCAGCGGATGGGGGAGCCAGAAGGAAAATGGTTTTTCCCTTGCAGTCGGGCTGCTCAGCGACCTGGGCTCTCCTCTTGACTGCCCTGGCCAAACTCCACGTCGTTTTGCCGGTAGGTGGCCTGCCAATGTGCCAGCGCCTGCCAGTGTGTTCCTCTTGATGTCCAGCTGCCTCTGTGTCTTCTTCCGCCCAGCTGCCTCTGTGTCTTCTTCCGCCCAGCTGCCTCTGTGTCTTCTTCCGCCCAGCTGCCTCTGTGTCTTCTTCCGCCCAGCTGCCTCTGTGTCTTCTTCCGCCCAGCTGCCTCTGTGTCTTCTTCCACCCAAGTGTTCTTCACGACGTCCAGCCGCTTGTATGTCTACTTACTAAGGTGTCCCGGGGTTTTATAGGCACAGGATGGGGGCGCGGCAGGCCAGGGTGGTGTTGGGAAATGCAACATTTGTTCATGAAGTGAGGAGTGCCTGACCTCACCTATGTCCGTGGGGGTGGAGCCCTAGCCAGGGACCACGCCCTCCTCTACTCCGCACTTCCCTTCCCCGCTTCCCCATCATTTAAAGGGACCATGTTCTTCCCTTCAAGAGCACCTAGAATCTATTCTTTTAGCAAGGTTTCACATACAATATAATAATATCAATAATAGTCGTCAAACTTTGCGTTAAGTGTCTAGATGTATTCATCTTTTGACCAAGAAAATGATTAATTTTATAAATATTCTATCACCATAAACATGTGAATAAAAATATTGTCTGCTCAAGGAATATAAGATTCTATGAATATCAATTACTTCACATTCTCATTTACTTATTTTATTATTTAATTTTTAATCACATTTATTTTATACTTGAATTTTTATGAAATACTTGTTTATCTTTTAAATTGATCCAATTCTCAAAAAGACAGATTAAACTATCTCACTAAAGATATAATATTAATAGTTTAGTTCATGCTTTATTATTTAGGCCTGTAAAATTTAGTACATATAAACAACAGACTCTCTTCTTTATTGCTTTGTGCTTTTAGTTTTAAAGTTAACAATCTCTCAGCTTGACATCCTAGCTTTCGTTTTTGTTTGCATTTACAGAATATTTATTTATGGCCCACCTTGAGCTCTCTATTAGGTTGTATTTGCTATTTGGTTTCAAGTATTTTCCCAAGAACTTTTTCAGATGGGGTATAAGGCAGATATATTTTTCCAAATAATTGTATATTCAGACTTTCTTTTACTTCAAAAGGCAGTCAACATTTCTCATATACGGTCTTGGATGCTGTTCCAGTGTCTTGTAAAGAAATCCCTTCAAACCTCTAGAATTAGGATATTTTGATCTCTTAATTTTCTCTACCTGCACCCCAAATGTTGGCAGTTCTAAGCATGGAGAAAGGAAGAATGATTTATCCTTCCACGGGCCACCAGCATAGAAGCAGGGAGTATCTATACATCACCCCCCAAGACTCCTGGATGAAGCCTCTTTCCCATTCACCTGTCCTTTTGTCTCTCCCATTCAGGAACAGGTAGGTCTCTGCCCCTATGCAGCCATTGCTTCACCTTTAGGAGGCCAGGGAGACCAAGCCTGCTCCTGCAGAGCTGATGTTGACAGCTTCCCAGGGTTCTTCACACCTCTGCGTCTTAGTACTTCCCCGGATCCTCCGATGTACGTAGTCTTGGCTGCCAGGGTCTCCAGGGTTGGTGATATCTAGATTATTGTCCAGCCTATGGAGAGGAGAGTTCATGCCCATTTCTCTGCAAGTCTTTTCACAGAACCTAAAACCTCACCAAATCTCATTCAGAGGCCAGGTCACTGCTGCCATTTGACACAGGAGACGAGCCTGATTGTCTCCCATGAATAAAGCTTTGTGGGTGCTGTTTAAAACTATGGGTCTCTTTTGTCTTCAGCAGAAACGGTTTTTCATTGTTTTCGTATACTTCTAAGACGTTAAAAATACTTGAATATTTACACTAATTTTCAAACTTCTTTAGGTTTTGTATTAGCACTCTCCACAAAAATAACATATGTATATAGTATATATAACATTATATATCTTAGATGAAACTATATAGATAGAACAAAAAATGTGTTCTAGACTAAATTTGTCCTCTGAACAAATTTTCCACCAGCTCTAGTCATTGCTGCATTAGGGATTCTTGTCATCTAAGGACTGGGTTTTACTACATGAAGATGCTCCTGTTGACATAAACTGCTCAATGCAAACGTTTACCTGCATGTCAACGCGCAGCCTACCCAACTCAAACAACTCTTCATGGCCACGAGGTTACAACAGACACTTTGGCCGGGGACCCACTTATTTTCTGAGATTGTTTCACTATGGTCCTGGGGCAGCGAGCTCCCGTGGGGTGAAAGGCGCCCTCTGCAGTACCGGATGCGGCAGCGGCTCAGAAGGGCTGTGCAGGGGATCGCTGGTTAATTGATCAGAGCCAGTTTTCTTTATCAATGCTGGGAACGCGGGGGTGAGGTGAGTCAGTCCCAGCTTGTACTCTGGTTTCTGAGCTGTGGAATCCAACAGGAAGATCCCTTTCCCACCAGCTAAGCACAGACCTGAGATTTCCCCTGCTTGACTTCCAGCCGGGTCTTCACCGTGCTGTGCCAGCTGCCTCAGGCTGTGGTCCTTGTTATTTATTTGTTTTTGTTTTTTTTTCATCAGCTTGGTTCTTTTCTATGAAATGTTTTTGCTCATTGTTGAAAACTTAAAGGCAAAAACCAAACCCATCTTCCAGTTGTGGGATAAAGCATCTTCATCGTCTGATTCCATTATTTCTCAAGTGTGCTACGCGATTGTGTTCCTGTTAGCTTTTACTTTCCTGTGAGTATCATACTTAAACCGAATGCATTGACCTGCCTATGTTTCCATGTTGGATTTGTATATTTTGGATTCCAGGGTTACAAATGTATCGCTTATTCCCGGAAATGAAGCAGGCTCTTTGACTTCCCTATAGGAACAGCATGGCGCACAGGCGTCGCGTGTGAAGGCCCCTCATAGCCGTGATTTGTTGATCTGTTTTTTTTCAGCTTCAGCAGCGCTCCGTGAAGTGACAACCACGTCCCTCAAATTCACTCTTGACTGTGTTTTTATTTTCATATGTCGTACTTCTTACCTAGGCCTTCATATCACAGTCATCTAAACTGAGAACAGATCAAGGCTGTGGCTCACCAAAGGTAAAAACTAACTGGGCAAAGCAAAGAAGGAGAAACAATTTGAAAACTCAGAGAATTCAACTTGTGACTCCTTCTTCGCTTTGCCCACCTTTGCTGTTCTTGACCGTTCTTTGGTTTATGCCTTATTATCTCCTGCTTCCCAGTTTTAAGATTCCCTAAACAAAATTAAAAAAAATAGTGTGTCGAGACATTTCCTTTAAAGTGATTAAATCTGAGCAGCATTAACTAAATGCTTTAATAGTTACAATTTTATAAATTCACTTTGTCTTAGAAAATCCATGTGGCTTCCTGCTGACCAGAGTGTGGCCCCTGGAATACCAAGAGGAGAGCCCATGTTGTGTAATTATGAACAGGGCGGAGCCCCTTCCCTATTTCCTTTGTGAACTGGTCTAAACATATTTTTATAAATATTTTAAAAATATCTTAATAATTTAATTTTTAGTTTTTATTTATTTATTTTTTTTGATACAGGGTCTCACTCTGACACCCAGGCTGGGGTACGGTGGTGTAATCTCAGCTCACTGCAACCTCTGCTTCCCGGGTTCAAGAGATCTCCTGCCTCAGCCTCCCAGGTAGCTGGGATTACAGGCGTGTGCCACCACACCCAGCTACTTTTTGTATTTTTAGCAGAGACAGGGTTTCACCATGTCGGCCAGGCTGGTCTTGAACCCCTCACCTCAAGTGATCCCCCGCCTCAGCCTCCCGAAGTGCTGCGATTACAGGCATGAGCCCCCATGCCTGGCTAAAAAGGACTGCTGCTGAAAATACAGGTTTATAGTTGCCAAACGGTTGAAAGAGGGTTCAATGAACTAAAAATTTAGTCGGAAAGGTCAGAAAATGAGTGCACACATTTGGGGTCCCTCAGGTCAAGAGCAAGTGGAGGCTGGGCACGGTGGCTCATGCCTGTAATCCCAGCACTTTGGGAGGCCGAGGCAGGTGGATCACGAGGCCAGGAGTTCAAGACCAGCCTGGCCAACATGGTGAAACCCGGTCTCTAGTAAAAATACAAAAATCAGCTGGGTGTGGTGGCACACACCTGCAGTTCCAGCTACTCACCTTCTGAGGCGGAAGAATTGCTTGAACTCAGGAGGCAGAGATTGCAGTGAGCCAAGATCACTCCACTGCACTCCAGCCTGGGTGACAGAGCGAGACTCTGTCTCAAAAAAAAAAAAAAAAAATAGGAAAAGCAAGTGGAAGCCCCGTTGAACTCATCCCCATTTCTTCATGAGGGCAAGGGGCCCAGGGCGGGCTCCCCTGCGAGGCTAGAGATGCATCTGCTGGGCCTTTCCACCCACCCCAGAGAATCTCCTGGCTACCTGGCAACTTCACTTCCTCAAAACCTCCACAGTCCACCCTGCTCATTTTAAAGGCCTCATCATGTGAAGAAAGCTCTTTTGGGTCCCAAAGGAGCACTGCTTTCTTTTTCTTCTGAGAAACACCTGCCACATGGGAAACCTCAGGTGACACCTCAGGCCTGTAAGGAGGCAGCCCCCCTGGCAGCCAGGGGCACAGGAGCATTTTAGGAGAATTTCTCTGCAGCAGGAGGGGAACGTAAGGAAGCTTATTTTCGGTTGAGGTTTGATTTGGTTTTGCCATCTGAATGTTTTTATTATTTGGAAATGTCATTTAATGGCAGGAGCCTATTTTCTGAATACACTGGTCAGCTCGGACTTCACTCGCTTGCAAATAATTTGCATTTCTATCCTCCTGGACAGCAGTCTACAGATGGATTAACCGAGAATAGCCAGTTTGGGATGATTTTAGGGCTTCTTGGGTGCCAGCCCACTGCTGCTAGGACTTTTCCCAAAAAAAGAGATAACAAAGAGGGCTGGATGATTTGGTTCTTATCTGAGAAAAAGGATATCCATCTTTAAATGAAATATGGCACAGGACAAGTTCTATGGAGAAACTCAAACATGGCTTAAAATTATCTGCTGGGAGGACCATGAGCTCATGAGAAGCCAGGAAGGATTGAGGGTAAAAAATAACTCACTTTTAAAGTCCTTATGTAGGTCACAGCATACTTTGATGTGGGAGGGACTGAAATGAAATAGTACAGATAAACCTTACGTGAGTTCACCCTTGGCAGGAACAGGATCATGTTCTAAAGATGAGAAGCCACGCTATTACCAGCAGGTTGGAAGATGAATAAAGGCACCGTCGAGGCCTCTGATGGACTAAACCTGCATGTTCAGCACCCAAATACAAAGTAAGGAAAAGGAAGCATATTCCACTAAGTTCTTGCATGTTTCACTTTATTTTATTTTACATACAATGCTCCTACAAAACATCAGTGTAATTTATTTTTGTGTTAATTTAATAACATTTTTAAACCTAATATTTTAATTACAAAAGACATAGATGTAGAAACACTGATAAACATAATAATAATTTTAAAAATCCATTTGCCATCTTTCCATCCAAAAACATTTACCTTGACTACTTATTAGTACATCTCCCCAGATAACTTTCTATATATTATGCGCACGCATAAAATGGAAGCAAATCCTTGAATAACAGCTTTTATATTGTGTACCTTAAATATATGTATATTGCACTGTGTGATTCTATGTTTGGGCTCTCTGTTCTGTTCCATTGATCTGTTCATCTATTATTTTGCCAGTACCACAGTCTTCATTACTGTAGCTTTATAATAAGTCTTGAAGTCAAACAGAGCAAGTCTTCTGACTTTGTTCTTCTTCAACACTCTTTTGGCAAGCTGGGTGTTTTGTCTCTCCATATAATAGAATCCATTTGTTGATGTCTAAAAATTAACTTGCTGGCATTTTGACTGGGAACATATTGAATCTATAGATCAAGTTGAGAACAGCTGACATCTTAACAACACTGAGTCTTCTTACCCACACATGTGGAATATTTCTCCACTTATTTACATCTTCTTTGATGTGTTTTATCTGAGTTTCCTACTTTTAGCTCTTGTACATATTTTCATCAGATTTACACTTAAGTATCATTTTTGGGTGCTAATATAAGTGATGTGTTTCTAATTTTAAATTTTAATTGTTCATTACTGGTATATGGCAAGCAATTGACTTTTGTATACTTCCTTTGTACCTTACAACCTCGGTACAATCACTTATTCATTCCAGCTTTCTGTCATTGAGTTTTTTTTTAACAGAGATAATCATGTCATCTATGAACAAAGAGAGTCTTATTTGTTCCTTTCCAATCTGTATAATTTTTATTTTTTGCTAATTTTATTAGCTAGAACTTTCATTTTGATGTTAAATAGAAATTTCGAGAGTAGATATCCTTGCCTTATTTCTGATCTTAGCACGAAAGCATTCAATTTTTCATTATTTATTAAGAGGAGAGCTGTAGGTTTTAATAGATGTTCTATGTCAGGTTGAGAAAGTTCTTCTTTATAGCTAGTTTGCTGAGGTGTTTTATCATGAATGGGTATTGGATTTTATCAAATTCTTTCACATATGATTGTATGATTTTTCTTCTTTAGACTGTGGAAGTGGTAGATTATGTTAATTGCTTTTTGAATGTTGAGCCAACCTTTCATACCTGAGACAAATCTTATTTGTTTATTTGAAATGATAATGACTGAGAATTTTTCAAAATTAATGACTGACACTGGCAGGGCACAGTGGTTCATGCCTGTAGTCCCAGCGCTTTGGGAGGTCGAGGTGGGATGTTTCAGGCCAAGAGTTCAAGACCAGCCTGGGCAACATAGCAAGACCTCATCTCAATAAGAAATAAAACAAAAAGGCCAGGCGCGATGGCTCACGCCTGTAATCCCAGCACTTTGGGAGGCCGAGGTGGGTGGATCATGAGGTCATGAGATCGAGACCATCCTGGCCAACATGGTGAAACCCCGTCTCTACTAAAAATACAAAAATTAGCTGGGCATGATGGTGCGTGCCTGTAGTCCCAGCTACTTGGGAGGCTGAGGCAGGAGAATCACTTGAACCCGGGAGGCAGAGGTAACAGTGAGCTGACATCGTGCCACTGCACTCCAGCCTGGGTGACAGAGTGAGACTCCATCTCAAAATAAATAAATAAATAAATAAAATAAAAGAAATAAAACAAAAAATTAGACAGGTGCCAGAGTGCACTCCTGGCCTTTAATTTTAATTACTATGGAAGCTGAGGTCGGGGAACATCCCTTAAGATTGAGGTTAGGGTGAACTGTGTTGGCACGACTGTGCTCCAGCCTGCACAACAGAGCGAAACCCTGTCTTTAAAAACAAACAAGCAAACAAAAAATGATTGACTCTAAACCACAAACCCAGACAGTCCTGCCTCCAATGTGTCAGCTTCTGCTCCTGGGTTTCTGTCACAAGTAAACTGTTATTCTCTCTGAGTATCTACCCCTCTTTCCCGTTTTGGGGGCAGCAGTCTGCCCTGTGACTGCGAGTCTCTGATGGATATAAGAAGAGTTGTTGATTTTCAGTTTGATCAGTTTTTTCTTGGTCTGAAGATGGAAGTGAGATCTTTCAAAGTCTTTACATGTCAGACCATGTTGTTATTTTTCAAAAAATAAATCCAAAGTTAGGAATTTTTTTTGAGACAGGGTCTGCTCTGTTGCCCAGACTGGAGTGCAGTGGCACGATCTCAGCTCACTACAACCTCCGCCTACCGGGTTCAAGCAATTCTCCTGCCTCAGCTTCTCCAGTAGCTGGGACTACAGGTGCATACCGCCACACCCAGCTAATTTTTTGTATTTTAGTAGAGACAGGGTTTTACTGTGTTGCCCAGGCTGGTCTTGAACTCCTGAGCTCAGGCAATCCACCCACCTAGGCCTCCCAAAGTGCTGGGATTAAAGGCGTGAGCCACCACGCCCAGCCAAATATTTTTAAGTATGTCAAATATGAATTATATACAGACTTAATATTCAGTATAGTGACATCATTTTTAATTCTATTTGCTGCTAAAGTCACCTGCAATAAAACCATATAAGCAAAAAAGTCCTTGAGGTTTTTGGCTCACTAAAGTGAGGACTGAAGACCCATGTCAGTATGTGTGACAAAAGACCAAAACAAAACAAAAAGCTTATTAGGTATAATCACCAAGTTTTGTTTTCTTGACCTTTCCAGAAAAAATGTCTTTGTTTTGAAGTTTTTGAATAATTGCTGAGCAAAGAGCTATAAAGGAGTGATGCTTTTTGTTTTGCCTTTTATTTCACAAGTTTCATGAAGCTGAAGAGCTTTAGCCTATGAATAATGAAAATGCACCTGAATTCTTATTATGACATCAATGGTCTCCTACTCGGCTCCTATACAGTGTAGATCAATAACATGCAAAGAACTTCTTCCTTGTCCTATACAATTATACATTTTAAATTGCTACCGTATAGAAATTCTGTTATATTGTACTCTCAGCATTTGCTAATTTTTTTTTCTTTTCTTCAGAGCTTTTCTCCCATGATGGAAAAACTAATTTATTTTACTTAATTCTTAACACACATAGACACACGTATATACACACACACATATATATGTGCATCTGTGTGTGTATATGTGTGTGTCTGTGTGTGTCTGTATGTGTGTATATGTATACTATATATGTGCATACATATATATGTGTGTGCATTTATGTGCGTGTATATGTCTATATGTTTTAAGAATTAAGCTAGTTTTTTAATCGTGTGTGTGTGTGTGTGTGTGTGTGTGTGTGTGTGTGTATGTATAAAACACGTTATGTGACCTAGAAAATTGGCTAAAATCTTCTTTGTGATGTAGTGGCATTCATACTTGCAAGAAACAGTCATGCTTTCAGCTACTGCTGTTTGGGGGGAGCTTAGGAAAAATTACATATTTATGGGTCAAAGATTTAAAAACTCAAGTCTTTCCAATGTACAGCCTACAGATTTTTCCATTAACAATGAAAATAAGGACTGCTATAATTTATTAAATTTCTACTATATGTAGGGACGATATATACATGACATTCTTAGTCCCACAATGTTCACCTTGTGACAGGCATCTGTATGCTTGTTAAATAAAGAAGAAAGCATACTCAGAGAAAAGCCCCCAAGTTAGTAAATAACAAAGCTGGAACTAAGACCTTGGACTGTTTTGGGTTTTTTTTAATACAATGTTTTCAAAGTTGAAGTGAGATTTACATATCATAAAATTAATCATTGTAAAGTGTACAATTCCGTGCATTTAGTATGTCCACGACTCTGTGCAATAATCACTTTCAATGAAGTTCCAAAACATTTAATTACTCCATAAGGTAACACATACGCATGAAGCAGTCAGTCCCCATTCTCGTCTTCCTTCAGCCCCTGACAACCACAAATCTGCTGTCTATCTGTGAGGATTTACCTGCCCTGATATTTCATATAAATAGATTCATACGATACATGACCTTCATGTCTGGCTGACCGTTTTCTGACCAATCGCAAATTCCATGTTGTTTCTTTGATAATATTCTGCCCTGGGCATTTCCTTGCTCACAAACTTTAAAAACAAAATGTTGGGCTGGGTGCAGTGGCTGACACCTATAATCCCAGCACCTTGGGAGGCCGAGATGGGCGGATCATTTGAGGTCAGCAGTACAAGACCACCTGGACAACATGGTGAAACCCCGTCTCTACTGAAAAATACAAAAATTAGCCAGGCATGGTGGCATGCACCTGTAATCCCAGCTACTCGGGAGGCTGAGGCAGGAGAATCGCTTGAACCTGGGAGGTGGAGGTTGCAGTGAACCAAGATTGTGCCACTGCACTCCAGCCTGGGTGACAGAGCGAGACTCCATCTCAAAAAACAAAACAAAACAAAACAAACAAACAAAAATGCTGCTTTAAAAAATAATGAGTAGCTTTCAAAGGATACTTACAAAATGTATGTTAAGCAATAAGAATAATGGTACAAGAAATACCTGTGTACCTGAGTCAGTTTAAGACCATGCCAGTGTGCGTGCGTGTGCCCAGACACACGTCACCGTTGAAGGCCCTGCAGGCACCTCCTCTGACCTGCCCCACCCCACCCATACGACCATTCTCCTGAATGCTTATCTATAATTCCCTCCCTTTTCTTCAGGTTTCTGTGCATATTTCTATGTTTTTTATTGAGTTCTGCATATTTTGAAATTTATATAAACGGAATCCTACTGGGTGAGATGCATCTACATTGTTCTGTGTCTCTCCAATTCTCTTCTTTTCACTGATGACTAATATTCTATGAAATGATTGTACTAAAGGCTGGGCACAGTGGCTCACGCCTGTAATCCCGGCACTTTGGGAGGCCGAGATGGGCAGATCACCTGAGGTCAGGGGTTTGAGACCAGCCTGGCCAACATGGCGAAAACCCATCTCTACTAAAACTACAAAATTAGCTGGGCATGGTGGCACATGCCTGTAGTCCCAGCTACTCAGAGGCTGAGACATGAGAATGGCTTGAACCCAGGAGGCAGAGGTTGCAATGAGCAGAGGTTGCGCCACTGTACTCCAACCTGGGCTCAAAAGCAAAAAAAAAAAAGATTCTACTAAACCGTCTCAATCTGTTTTTGTGTTGATAGGCATTTGAGTTATTTCCAGCTACGTCCTTATTATGAACATTGGTATGAATATGCATACGTACATATATATGCATATTCTGGGAGATGAGGTGGAAGGTAGAGTTTTTTTATGGAGTTTATACATAAAAATGAAATTTCTGGGTGACAGAGAATGCACAGTTTCAGCTTTACTGGATAATGCTGATTTTCCAAAATAGTCCTAGAAATTTATACTCCTACCAGTTTTAGAAAAATGTTCCAATCACTACATATCCTCATCAGTACTAGATATTTTCAGACTAAAAAAAAGGTTGCCAATCCACTGGATTAGAACATGCATCTCATTTAGTTTTTAATTTGCCTTTCCCAGGTTACTACTGGTGGTGGGATTTTTTTTTTCATGTGTTCATTGGTTATTCGCATTTCCTCTTCTGTGAAATTACTCTTTATTTCTATTTTTCTATTGGGTACTTGAATTTCTCCTGTTGATCTATGTATTGAAAATAATCATGTCTTGCTTTGTGCTTGTGTTTTCATTGTTTTTATGATATCTTGATTAGCCTCATTTTTAAGAGCACTGTAACCTAAATTATTTTAGCATAATAGGTTGTGGTTTAATTTATCTTCTTTATAATTTGCAATTTTCCATATCCTATTAAAACATCCTTTCCTACCCGGTGAGAATAGAGCTTTTTTATATTATTTTCTGAAATTTCTAAATTTGTCTTTAACATTTATGTCTTTAGGGGTTTGATGCAGTAATCTAATTTCATTTATTGAAAAGCCCATTCTTCCTTTACTGACCTACAAAGTGAGCTCTACTGTAATTTCATATATGTTTTATTCAGATCTCCATTTACCTATTTAGATATAAATATATACATTTCTCAGCTCTGTATTGTGCTCCATTTATCAATTTATTTATTCCTCTGTCATATACACTATGGCATTTTCCTTTTTTATTTATTTATTTTTTCTTTCTGAGGTTTTTCATTTCTCTTTTTTTGAAAAACTTCCTTTTTAACACCTACTTCACCCCATTCTACTCCACCCTTGAGAAAAATATTCTAAAGTAGTTAATCCACGTAATATTGCTAGTTTGTGCTTTTGCATAATATGTATTTTGCTTTATGCAAATCCATTTTTAATGTAAGTGAATGGTATCATGTTTTATACCTTGTTCTGTTTCTTATCCTTTTTTTCTTCACTAAGCATGGTATTTTTAAGACTCATCTATTTAATAATGTGCAGAGAGGATCTGCTGGTCCCAACATACTCTACAGGGCACTGCCCCATGTCTCACCCGTCTGCCTGACCCACAGGCAATGCTGGAGCAAGCACCCATGAACACGTTCCCTTACTGACCTGGATCAGAATTTCCATAGCATAAATGTGTACAAGGGTAACTGCATATACTTGGGTAAGGTTTGCACATGCTTTGCCTGACTAGGGAGTGCTAGGTTGTTCTTTAGCATGGCTGCTCCAGTCTGCAAGCCCACCCACAGTGAATGGGGCCTTCATCTCCCCTACATCCGTGATACTTGGCATTGCCTAGCTTCTTAAGCTTAGCCAGTCCATATGCAGAATGTGATATTATATTATTTAAATAAGCATCATTCTGTTTACTAAATTAAGCTTTTGAGCATTGATTCATTGTTTTTCAGTTTCCTTTTCTACAAATTGTCACTTCATATCCTTTGCATATAGTATTAGTTTGTTCTTGTGTTACTACAAAGAACTACCTGGGACTGAGTAATTTATAAAGAAAAGAGGTTTAATTGACTCACAGTTCCACATGGCTGGAGGGTCCCAGGAAACTTAATAATCATGGTGGAAGGCGAAAGGGAAGCAAGCACATCTTACCATGGCAGAGCAGGAGAGAGAGAGAAAAGGACGAAGCATTATACACTTTTAAACAACTAAATCTCATGGGAACTCATTCAATATCACGAGAACAGCAAAGGGGAAGTCCACCGCCATGATTCAATCGTCTCCCACCAGGCTTCTCTTCCAACACGTGGGAATTACAATTTGACATGAGATTTGGGTGGGGACACAGAACTAAGCTATGTATATATAATGTACATGTTCTATATGTACAACCAAGCCATATATATAATGTACATGTTATATATGCTTATATATATATAAAGCCTGTATTTTTCCTACTAGAGGTTGCTGTCTTTTCCTTCTTTATTTACAGAAAGTTCTTCTAAACACTAGAATGTAAATATTATTTTTATTTATTTGGCCAATGAAAATGTATTCTCTTATTTTTGTATCTACTAGATTTCTTTACAGTGTTCTTCATTTTGAGGAATACAATATGTCAGAATTGTGCTTTTCCAAGATATTTTGTTTGCTTTGTTTTTATTTATAAAACAATCCCTTCCTGACCCTAAAGCACATGATATTCTGCGACTTTTTTTTTTCTGCTTTTATGGTATTCTTGGTAATTTCTCCAGATCTGCTGTCCAATTCACTCTTCGGATTTTTCCCAATAAAATGATAAGTCTGTTCATTGAATTTCTCATTTCAATTAGCATCGGAAAGTTTAATTTTTAAAAATCTCCTGATTATTTTTAGGTCACTTTTTATGTGTCCCTATTTAATTAAGCATAGTGAAATGCCTATTTTTATTCAGTGTGTAGTATTTCCATATCAAAATATTTTTGCTGGTTAGTTTCTGCAGTTGTTGTTGTTTTCCTTGCTGGCACTTGTTTGTGGATCTAGAACTTGTTTCCTTGTGTGATAAGAGACCTTTGCAACTTAATCCGTAGCTGTCCTTCGAGTCTCCGGTTCAGGGTGTGGAGGACTCACGTTTCTGCCAAGCGCCTGGGTTCACTCCCAGCCCTGGGCAAGTTTGACCAAATGACTAGCCTCATGGTTAGTGGAGTTCCCAAGTTGCATAAACTCAGATTGCAAGTTTCCATGAGGATCAGCTTGTGGTCTGAATTTCTCAGAAGAGATTGTTTTTCTTCCCCCACTCAGAATCAGGGTTCCTTGGCCTTCCTAGGTTTGGAGAAAATTTATCAACCCTTCATCTTTGTGCAGAGAGTCCTATTTTCATGAAAAAGTTGTCTTAGCAGACACTCTCTCGGGAGTGAGGGAGGGATGCTGTCACCAGCCAGAGGACACCAGAGCTCAGGCTGACTGTGTTCAATAAGGCCTCAGGGTGCTGCAGGCTGGGAGCTCTGCTTCTGGCCCTGAAATCCTGCTCACATGTCCTGCTCAGTCTCCCATTGTCTCCCTAACTTGCTATTGTTTTTTTAATGAATTGTAAAAGATGTTGTAAAATATCTTATTCGGAATTTGAGTTCTATTTCATGGTAGAATTAGTTAGGGGCCCAACAAGTCTTCATTTACACATTTTACCTGCCTATAGAAAAGGTATAAATCCTTTGTTTTTTTATATAAAATCTCAGGGTCTCCATAGTGTAGCAGTGCCCTGGCACTCTGAACTTGCGGTTATTAACATTCCACCCGCACTGTCATGTCAAACTGCCTGGCCTCACCTTTCTCTCTTCGATGTTTTAAATTCGTCACTCGCAGGGTGCTTTTCCCTTCACGCTGTCAGTGTGATTTTGATTTCACTCAACTCAGCAGGCGTGCATAAGCACCAGGTGGCAACTCCCCGTTCCAGCACAACCGTATCCATCATCTTCCTCATCCTCTGGGTACCAGAAGAAGCCCTCCTTATTACACAAAGTCTTCTCTGCCAACTTGGAGCCACTTCAGACTCACAGCTTTGAAATCTTCTGGAGTGGACTGAGTTACTGATACCCCTGATTCAGATGATGAAACTCCTTATCCAGTTTTCTTACCAGATTGTTACCTGCCCGAGAGCAGCGATCATTACCTGCTTTTTTGGTGGCTTCACTTCAGCATCCTATACACTGTTGGTTCAATAAGTCACTGGTGTATTTGATATCTGTGGAACACATTTCTAATGTTAAGTGATCTTGTCTTAGACCTGAGATAACATCATCTTTTTCGTTTTATTGCATGACAATATCACGTACATTTTTAAGAGCTCTAAACAGAGTTTGGGATATCCTATTCATCTTTGATTTGCACCCCTCTTTTGGAGATCAACACTTAGATTCTTGGCTCATGAATTTGTTCAATGAGTATAAATGATTGAGTCTCTTAACTCCCAGAAGGGTTAACTAGAAAATTAGTCCTCAACTTGAAACTTCAATTATGTACATAAAATCTATGCACCCTCCTCATTAAGCACTTTTGTCAGTTGAAGCTAGTCTTCAATTTAATAATTTTATTAGTATTCTAAAATTGTAGCAGGAAAGATTAATTGTAGTAATAATTAGAAAATTGAGCATTAAGTTTTTTTTTTTTCCAACAGAGTTGCCTTCATACTGTTATATTTCACTTTGTTTTAGCAAGGCAGTCCATGTGCAAACGGAAAATAATTTATTTGTGTGTGGCCTAACAATGCATTTTTAAACAGAATGTAAAGTTTTTGTAAAAACACTAAAATTTCTGTTTTATTAACTAAGCTCAAAATAGTGCTAGCCTCACCAAAAAAAAAAAAAAAAAAACATGTCTATTCTGTTAGAGCTACCATCTTCTAAATTTCTCATCAGCTTATATGAAACATATACTGCAGCAGGAATTGAAGAGAAACAACTAAGGATACGGAAAGTGTATCTTTCCGGTGAGATTTGCTCTGCACATAATATACATGTCAGGCCCTGCGTGCTGTATGCTTTCTGTCTGGCCTTCCTCCAACCCCCACCCTTTTGTTACCTTTTTCTCCCTTGCCACCTCAGCAGCTTAGCAGCCGTGTCTTCTGAGCTGGCGCATAGGCCGGCTCTGGCATGAACTCTGTCTTCCTGCATCATCCCTGCACATAGCAGGATGCCTTCCTCATGCCAGTCTGCTCACACTATTTGCTCATTCCTCTTTGTTCAAATTGCAAATGTGAGGCATTTGGGGTGCTAGAATCCTGAAGGTCAGATTCTACATAGGTCTCATCTTTGTATGTGGTCCTGCCCCATTTATGGGGTCAAAGTGTCAACATTTTAGGTATGTATACCTCAAAGCTGAAGGAGACTTGAACCCTAGGTCAAGCCGCATGTCACCTATTGTCATTTAGGATTAATCAAGAGGTGAGTCATTGGAGGAAGCAGCGAAACCATGGGGGCAAGGAATATTTCAAAGGCCCAAGGACAATTTAAACATCAGCAAACATTGTGTCTGGACCCATTGGGATATGGAGCTTGTTGTCAGGTGACATGAGGAATCTTGTGTCTACGATGGAATCTATCACTTGGTAGGGGAGAGAGCCAGCTTCCAAAAGGCCAAAAAGGGTACAAGAAAAAGGAGGAGTGTGGTTGAGTAGTTAAAGAAAGTTGTGAAGATTTTCCTAAGGAGGTGGTGAATGTTTTACTTCTCTGCTGCTATTATTAACAACACCTTTTCCATGGAAGTCTCTGTGCTCTGGTCTTCTAGAGGAACAAGAATCCAAGCTGAATTTTTTTTTTTTTTGAAACAGAGTCTCACTCTGTTGTCCAGGTTGGAGTGCAGTGGCATGATCTTCGCTCACTGCAACCTCCGCCTCCTGGGTTCAAGCGATTCTTATACCTCAGCCTCCGGAGTAACTAGGACTACAGGCACGTGCCACCACACCCGGCTAATTTTTGTAGTTTTAGTAGAGACAGGGTTTCGCCATGTTGGCTAGGCTGGTCTCAAACTCCTGGCCTCAGGTGATCCACCCACCTTGGCCTCCCAAAGTGGTGGGATTACAGGCATGAGCCACTATGCCTGGCCCAAGCTGAATTTTTGTATGTTTTATTGGAAATGTAGATACATTCCATTCACACTTAATTAGTCCATTTGGAAAATATTGATTAGAATTTCCCATTTTCTAAAAAGTATTTTTCAATTAGTATTCCAATCACTGTTATTAACATCATCTCTATAAAATCAGTCAGTCTCTTTTAAGCTTTATGTCATGAGAGATGTCAGTTTGATTACTTAAAAAACAATTAAAATGAGTTGTAATTTTATATCAGACTTTGAGCCGTATATGGATTGATGAATGTTCTTAAGTCATCATAGTTTAAAATTCAACCAAACAGGTAATTATCATATACCATCAAATATAATTATAGGTGCTCATCTCCATAAAACCCTACAACTTAATATCACATATTAGCAGTTAATCATATAGTTTAAATGGGTCTATGATGCATTTTTATGAACTCTCTAATCTGCATCAGTGAAGAATACATACAGCACATGAGAAAAAAGGTAAATGAATGCTCAAGTGAAAAAGGATGTATTGGCCGGGCATGGTGGCTCACGCCTGTAATCCCAGCACTCTGGGAGGCCAAGGCGGGCGGATCACGAGGTCAGGAGATTGAGACCATCCTGGCTAACACAGTGAAACCCCGTCTCTACTAAAAATACAAAAAAATTAGCTGGGTGTGGTGGCAGGCGCCTGTGGTCCCAGCTATTGGGGAGGCTGAGGCAGGAGAATGGCGTGAACTCCGGAGGCGGAGCTTGCAGTGAGTGGAGATTGCGCCACTGCACTCCAGCCTGGACGACAGAGCGAGGCTCCGTCTCAAAAAAAAAAAAGGGGGGTGTATTTTGAAATATTTATACTTCTGAAAGGAAGAGTGTTCTAATTCAGGAGACTTGACTATGAGTTTAGAATCAGATCAACGCAGCCCACTCTGGGAGGTGCCACCCAGAGAAATCACTCCCATTATTACACTTGCCTCCAAGGACAGCCAGACCAATGGGCTATGTCCCCACCCCAAGTTCTCATTATTTTCCCTGCCAATGAACAACCTATTTAACAGCAAATACACTATGAGGATTTTTTGGGTTGGTGTCCATTGACTTAGCCCTGACAACACACTGACACCAAGCTTCATGACACAACCCTTTTATTCCCAGGAATTGTAAGTGGTTCCATCTGCAAATTCTTCAGAAGAGTTCTTGTGTATTGATATTACCTCCTGTGGTCTTGTGTCACCTCTATTGTGTGAAGTGCTGATGGCGGCTTGTCAAGTGACTATACTTCTTCACCTCTTCTTCTATTCAGTGTGAAGGCTATTCTTGTCTTACAATTTTTAATTGTTTAAAAGAAGGTTTGATATATAAAAACAAGAAAAGGAGCAGCTTTGAGAGTTAAAAAAGCCGAGGCTGAAATGATGCATTACAAAGTATATAGATTCTGTACTCCAGATAAGATGGGGTTTAGAGGGAGTGGTAGAAACATTTGCTCCTTAATGGCAAAGGTAATAAACTCCTGCTCTCACTGCAAGAATTGACCATGAGATGGGGTCAGGAATCTTCAGGGGAGCAGACAGTGGTGTGGCCCTTGTCTAGGTCTCCATTTATACCTGAAGATGGAGCGGAATACGCACTCCAGATGCCTGGAACACCATTGCATGGGAGTGTGGGTCACGGATCCGAGGGATACACACTCTAGATGACTGGAAGTCAATAGCCTGGGAAGCGCAGGTCACACCCCGAGGGAAAGGGCTTCAGGATGAACATCTGCAGAAGGCGTGGACAAGGATGGGAGGCAACAGGGTCACTGGGCTTTCCAGGACTCAGAGAATCAAAAGGCTTCCAGGTCATTTCTGGTAGAGCTGTTGGTGGTTACAGGAAGCAATTTGGATCCCAGACTCCTGGAGATGAACAGCTTTACGGTGAGCTCAGCTCTGAGTGTGGAAGCACTGCCATCCCAGGGGCTTCTGTCGCAGAAGAAACGGAAATCTGGCAAAAGGATGGCCAGGCTGGCCAGAAACCACTGGTCTAGATAGAAAAGGAATATGCTACTGTTGCCAGCCAAGGCTTTGTTTGTTTTGGGGAAAAAATATTGCTCTGAGTGAAATATCTATTTCTGGCATCTATTAACAATTGGTTATGGTTCCTTGTTTTAATTATATCATTACATTTTTAAAATGAAGGATTTAATTTGCTTTTGCTCCTATTTGTTGCTGATGTCGCTCAGTTCTCCAAATGGCTGCTGTCTTCCTCTAGTACTTAGTCTGCCATCTAGAAGCAAATTAAAGACACCCAAGAAACTTCAGTTATTGTATTGGTAACTATAAAATAATGATTAACAAACAGAAGGACAGGAAGCGGGAGAAGGCAGTCAAGTAGGAAGTAGAAAATCTAACACTGAGAGAGCACCCCCCAACATAGGGACTGTGTGGAGGTTTTACCCAAATGATGCTTCATTTAATTTTCACCAAAAGAAAGTGAGGTCCTTCCCCATCTGAGGGACAGGCCTCTGACACCCATCTCCGTAGCAGTCATCCCACAGGTTGGCCATGGCTGAGTAGGTCAGGGACAGACACCTTCTCGAAGCTGGGCTATCGTCCTCTCACTCTTTGATTTGGAATTCAGTCTTTATCATTGAAGGGTTAGAACTGTAATAGACAAACAATTGGGAATTAAGAGGCTGCCAGATCCTGTTATATGGAGTAACAAAATAGGACATTAGATGGATAGATGGAGAGAGACAGAAAGAGAGATGGATAGATGGATGGATTGAGAGATGATAGATAACAGATAGAGGACAGGAAAGAGGAGAGAAAGAAAGAAAGGGCACGAGAAAAAGAAAAAGAGAGAGAGCCACGTACAGAGAGAAATGTGCATGGGAAGCAGAGCCCCGGTTCCAGTTTCTTCCTGTAGTTCCCCTGCATTCCTATTCCTTGGTTCCATGAGACACCCCAAGTCCTTACAACAAACTCTCATTCTAAGCTAAAAGTTTGTTTCTGTTGCCTGCACACAAAGACTCCTAACTAATAAAACAGTGAACAAAATGACTGATATCTGTAATAGGGTAACCTGATAACACTTTTAAGATTGATTAGATTGAGACCAAACAGAAGGGAAAACACCTAGGCACCGTGAAGACCTATACAGTCATTAACATTCTCCTGACTTAGAACCTGTGATAATTAGGGAGTGACCTGCAGCAGTTTCCTTCACTCTGTGAGCCATGCATGCAAATGAGGGGTGCAGGAGAGGAATGCAGACCTGGGGCCCACCCGCATTCAAGTGCAATTGATGGGGCCATTGCAGGTCACCCTGATCTGCCCAGTGCCCCTAGCTGCTGCTGGTAGACTTGTAGGATCCTATAATTTAGGCTTCTCATTAATTCAGATGAACCGTGACTTTGGTGTGCCCTTCTCCATTCCAGTTATGTGGAAGAAATTTCATCTCTTGGTCTTTTATGCATTTTAAGATTTGATAGCAACGCTAGTGGCTCATGCCTGTAATCCAGCACTTTGGGAGGCCGAGGTGGGCAGATCACAAGGTCAGGAGATCGAGACCATCCTGGCCAACATGGTGAAACACTGTCTCTACTAAAAATACAAAAAAAAAAAAAATTAGCTGGCGTGGTGGCACGTACCTGTAATCTCAGCTACTCAGGAGGCTGAGGCAGGAGAATCGCTTGAACCAGGGAGTCGGAGATTGCAGTGAGCTGAGATCGCACCACTGCATTGCAGCCTGGTGACAGAGTGAGACTCCATCTCAAAAAAAAAAAAAAAAAAAAAAGACTTGATAGCAACCCTTTAGAGGTTGACATGAGAAATAAATGAATTAGTATTTAAAAGACCATAGAATGCATGGTCCATAGTAAGCAAGTAAAAGTCTATTCACTGCCTATACAACAGCCACGTTTCTCTCCATTTCCCAGCCCACTGAGCCTTAGGTGAGGACATGTGACAATTTCTGGCCAATGTGCTGTGAATGCAAGTGACATGTGCTACTTGTGGGCTGAACCCAAGGGGAATTTTAAGATGAGTCTGGGTTTACTCTGCACATTTGACCCCTGTTTGACCAGTGTCTTCAAGGCCTTCTGCTCTGGAGGGTGGAACAAAACACTTGAGGGATGGAGCTGGGCCCTCCTCTGCATGTTGCAAAGGTAGAATGTGTGAAAAAAAGTCTTGATTCTGTTGAGCCTCTAGGGTTTAAGGATCATGTGATAGCACGGAATCATCTCTCGTATCAAGAAATAAACATACTATCTCGTGAGCTTGCAGTCTATCTACAAGACTGAGACAGGGCAAACATTTTCTTAAGAAACAAAAAGGTAAAATAACATCTACAAACCTTGCAGCTTTCTACAAATTCTCCTCCCTTGGAATTCTTTGCCTTCCTCCTTTCTCTATGTCCTTACACAACACGAAGGAGTGAACTGTCCTGTAACACACATTCATGATGAAGGCATGGGCTCCTAGAGATCGGGGTTTCTCCCTGCCTTGGTCCATCCTGTTTGACCTGGGACAGTCTATGCAAATTATCTGCACTTCCAGATTCTCACCTGGGCATAGAGAGGAAGAAAGCTGCTGTCTCAGTGTTGGAAAATTAAGCAGAGGAGCACAGGGGCACCATGGTGCCTGAAATGTGCCATTGGTGTTAGCTATAATGAGATGATGAGTAAGCAGATCCGCTAACCCAAAATTGGCAAGCATGAGCCCCAGGCAATGGTGCAGGTGTGGAGTCAAATTTGCCCCCTAGGACATTCCTGTTACTGTTACTCAGGGACATTCGTGGATGGACAGAGTCTCAACAGGGGCTTTAGTTGTAGAACTTTTTGTGTTTGCCAGTGTGTATGCTTTTGACTCTTATTAGGGAAAGCTGGTGAAAGCAAGAGACTGTTTAATTATCTACTTTGTAATTCACTGTGGTACTAGCAGTGTCTTGCCTAAGGAAGGCTTTACATTTTCTTTAGGCAGCAAATGCAGAATTAGTTCGTAAGCAAAAGGTATTTTTTAAAAAATTCAATACAGGGTTTGTGATTTTCCTTCATGACTTGATATAATCCACCTGCTTGTCCCTTAAGAAGGGCAAGGTGAGAGAGCCAGCAGGTCTAACTGGCTTTGCCTGCCTCTCAATGAATATTATTTCTGGCTGTGCACAGAGAGGAATTTCAAGGTTTATGGGTGTGCTGAGAAAAATGGCAGAAATTTGCCTGCTGGGAAGCAAGAACTCAACAAGGCCCTAGATGTCCTAGGGCAGGCAGTGCAGCTGAAGTCCGGGGGCGAGGAAAGGCTTGAGTCTTGCTGATAAACCAGCTCCTCGTGTTTTAGTGGGCGAGGTCTGCTCATTTGTAAGAAGAGAGTGGCTGGACTTGTTGCTAAAATAAAGGCTATCACTATCCAAAAAAACCTTCTTTTTTTCGCTCCTGAAACTAGAAGAGTGATGGGGCATGACATTTTTTCAGCTGGTCAAAGGGTTATGTGGGTGAGTTACAGTCAAAGTGTATGCAAAACAGGTGTCAACATGAAGTGAGCTAGAAGTTCAGGCCCTTACTTCCAATTAGTTTATAATTGCAGAACAATTTAAAGCAGTGTATTCCTTAACTTCCAAAAGCCACTGAAATCAGTGGTGAAAATGTGTGTCCATCACTGAGTTGGTAGCAGAGAAACTGAGGAAAAGTAAAACCAGGGTGGAAGCTGTCCTTCTCCTCTTCGGTGCCCAGAATCAGAACTCTCCATTATCTGAAATTGGCTTCATTTGTTGAGGAAGCCACTACTCCATTTCTAGATAATCCTAGAGGTCTTTTATTTTTATTTATTTCAGTTATTAATTATGATTATTATTGATGAAAGATTATGCTTCTCTTTTCAATTTTGCACTCTAGATTTCTATACCTTTTTTCTTTTTTAAATCTTTTTTCTCTTCTTGGACCTCTTTTTCTTCTGTATAGCTGTTCTTTCTGGTGTATTTCTTCAACATAAGTTCCAAACATTCTCTTATCTGTTTTATATCATGTTTTTAATTCCTAAGTGCTATTTTTTGGTCTCTGGATATTTCATTTGTATGTAATATAATGCCCATATTCTTGCTTCACAGATGCAATACTTTTTTTATCCCCAAGTATATTAATAATTTTCCTTTGCTTATACTCTTGAAATTTTCTTCTCCTTGCATAATCCTATTTCTTTCAAGTGATTTTCCTTTGCTATTGTTTGCAATTTTGTTTTTGTTTTGGATTCAGTTACTTTCATGTTAGAGTCTTTTCTCAGTTATTAGGTGATTCCTTGTTTTCTGACCATAATTAAATAAATAATTAGCTAAATATTTCCTCACATCCAGGCTTGGATTCTGTTTCTCTGGGTCAGTAGTTACTGTCATACATCTGCTTTGCAGCTTTTAAAAGTGTACTGACAGAATTAGAAAAAAAAATCTTAAAATTCATATGCACTCAAAAAAGAGGCTGAATAGCCAAAGCAACCCTAAGCAAAAAGACCAAAGCTGGAGACATTATATGACCTGACTTTAAATTATACTACAAGGCTATAGTAACTAAAACAGTGTGGCACTGTTATAAAAATAGACACATGGATCAGTGAAACAGAACAGAGAAGCAAGAATGAAGCCACATACCCAACTGATCTTCAACAAAGTCAACAAAAATGTACATTGGGGAAATGACATCCTATTCAATAAATGGTGTAGGGAAAATTAGATAGCCACATGCAGATGAATGAAAGTAGACTCAGACCTCCCATCATATACATAAATTAACTCAAGATAAATTAAAGACTTAAATATCAGTCCTCAAACTACAAAAGTCCCAGGAGACAACCCAGAAAAAACTATTCTGAACATTGGCCTAGGCAAAGAATTTATGACCATGTCTTCAAAAGCAAATACAACAAAACAAAAATAGACAAATAGGACTTAATTAAACTAACCACAGCAAAATAATAGTAATAATAATAATAATAATAATAATAATCAATAGCTAAAACGTAAACCTGCAAAATGAAGAAACATATTTGCAAACTATACATCCAACAAAGGTCTAATCTAATCTCCAGAATTTACAAGGAACTCAACTCCACAAGAAAAAAAGCAAATAACCTAATTAAAAATTGGGCAAAGAATATGAACAGACATTTTTCAAAAGAAGGCATTCATGTAATCAATAAACCTATGAAAAAAAGCTCAACATCACTAATCATCAGAGAAATTCATATTAAAACCAAAAATGTGACACCATCTTACACCAGTTATAAGGGCTATTCTTAAAAATTTCTAAAACCAATGTTGGCAAGAATGTGGAGCAAACAAACCCTTATACACCATTGGTGGGAATGTAAATTAGAATAACCTCTAAGGGAAACAGCATGGAGATTTCTCAAAGAATTAAAAGTAGAACTACATTCATTCCAGCGACTTTACTCCTGGGTATCTACCAAAGGGAAAGAAATCGTTATATCAAAAAGAGAGCTGCCCTCATGTGTTTATTGCAGCACTATTCACAATAGCAAAGATAGGAAATTGACTTAACTGTCCACCATTGGATAACTGGATAAAGAAAATGTGGTGTATATATACCATGGAATACTACTCAGCCATGAAAAGAATGAAATTGTCTTTTGTAGCAACAGGGATGGAACTGGAGGCCATTGTCCTAGGTGAAATAACTTAGAAATAAAGTCAAATACTACATGTTCTCACACTTAAGTGGGAGCTAAACAGTGGGTACACATGCACCTACAGGGTGGAATAATAGACACTGGAGACTCCAAAATGTAGAAGGCTTCGGGAGTGTGAGTTGAAAAATTACCTACTGAGTACAACATACACTATTCGGGTGATGGGTACAATGAAAGCCCAGGCTTCACTGCCGTGCAGTGAAAAATGTCTGTTCATGTCCTTTGCCCAATTTTTAATCAGGTTATTTGCTTTTTTTCTTGTAGAGTTGAGTTACTTGTAGATTCTAGAGATTAGATTGGACCTTTGTTGGATGCATAGCTTCCAAATATGTTTCTCTATTCTTCAGATTTATGTTTTCTCTAAAACTGCAGGTTCATGTTTTCTCTGTGGGTTTATGTTTTGCACAACCACCATGTTTTCTTTTTAAGATTTTTTTTGAAGAAATCTGCACTTGTACCCCTTAAATCTATAAAAATTTCACCATGTTTTTGAAGTGTGCCAATGTTTTTACCTTACGAATTTTTTTTTAAGTGTGATGATGTTTTTACCTTTTGCGTTATCCCTTTCATTACAGGTTTGTGTCTTCAACAAAATCCCTTCATAATTGTTTCTTTTGCTTCAGACGAGAGAAAAAGTCGACACCTGCTTTCCTTCTGCCATCGTCGCTGGGAAGTGTCCTCTTGTCCATCTCCTGTCCAGAGGCGCCTTCCTGCTGTGCCCCCCGGAATATGGCTCTTTCTGATTTTACCAGCCCTTTTCACATCACTGCACCCAGGGGAAACGTCCTCTCCCCAGCCTCCTAAAGTGTGGCCATGCTATCTCCTTCCTGAGACACTTTCCTCTGGAGATTGCCCTGCTGTGATAGCCTAGTCATTGCCATCCCGGACACTCATGGTACCCTGTACCCGAACCAAATCAGAGCACTTTGACACAAGGCAGCCTCCAGGCAGGGGTCACCCTGGGATTGTAAGATCCATGTCACTCCAACAGAGCCTCTTCCTTCCCTCTCACTGGTTTCTGCCAACAGAGGGCGGCCAGGCACCACGCCCATATGCCTTGAATCTGAGCTAACCACCATGTAGGATCTAAGAAAAATATGCTTACCAGATGATGTTGGCCAGGCGCAGTGGCTCACGCCTGTAGTCCCAGCATTTTGGGAGGCCAAAGCCGGCGATCACTTGAGGTCAGGAGTTGGAGACCAGCCTGGCCAACATGGTGAAACCCTCCGTCTACTAAAAAAAAAAAGTGCCGCTTCAAAAAAAAAAAAAAAAAGCCAGGCATAGTGGCATGCTCCTGTAATCCCAGTTGCTGGGGAGGCTGAGGTGGGAGAGTGGCTGGAACCTCGGAGGCGGAGGTTGCGGTGAGCTGAGATCGCACCAGTGCACTCCAGTCTGGGTGACAGAGCGAGACCATCTCAAAACAAAACAAAAAAAAAAAAAAAAGAAGGAGAGATGATGCTGCATGCCTGGTATTGCGATCTCAAAAGAGTGATCATTCTACATACATTCTTAGCAAAACCTTCTGTTTTTTGCAAACCTCAATAAATTATTGTATGTGCGTCATAAACTGCTGTAGAATTTTGTCCAGGCTCAACACCAGAATTTCTCCGTGAAAATCAGGAAAACAGCCAGTCTGTGGCACTTCTTCCTTTCCCAAAGAATCGTCAGTTTCCTGCACACGTGGAGGTTCCCGAGGCAGCACAGGGCCTTGTGTTTCTGGAAACATTGACGTGCAAGCCCTGATCCAGCCCATGTGAACAGGTTAACCTCACCTCTCCCAATTGGGGAGGTTATTCTCTCTGGTGAAGAAGATTTAAAAACCGTGGAACAGAGCAATTTTGTTTTCTGTCTGCCCCATGTCACCTTCACGCCTTGCCCAAAATGATTTTGTCAAAAACCCAGTGAAAACAACAAGTATGTTTTGTTGTGTTTGTGTGTGTGCTGTTAAACTTTCTGACAGGCTTCACGTATTCTGCACTTAAACTTTCTAGAAAATGTTCCTACAAGTCCATGTGCCTTTGAATATGTCCATGGTTAGATTGAATTTATGGAAACCCCGCTTACATACACTGGTATTTTAAAATATATCTCCCCATCCATTCTCTCTCATTTTCGGTTTTTTATATTTTGGATTGTTTTAAGCCTTGTTATTTATAAACTCGTGAGTTAATCTTTCCATTTTTAAGGTGGTAGAACCACTTTCATAGAGAATAATTGCATCATGACAGAAGTTGCTGCTTGCTCAGAAGTGACAGAGCATGAATTTAAAGTTAGGCCTGTCTGACTCCAGAGCTGGCATGTGTAGACGCTGACAACAAAGTGCAGACACATGTGTCCTGTCCCTGTCTTGGTGTGGCTTGGACATTGGGATTATAGCGGGCTGTCAAGGTTGAGAACCACTGGCCTGGAGCAGCTCAGGCCACCTGACAGCTGAGGGTTGGAGGAGGACATCCAAGATTATTCCACAGACCTCCATGTGGGCCTGAGTTGCAACCTTACACCCATAGAAGGTAGGACAGGGAGATGAGGGACCCCAGCCTTGAGAGGAATGAGTGACAACAGCTTCAGCTGGCCCCTGCTCAGCTTCTTCTGTTACCATAGACATGACTTGGGTTTAGAAATAAGTGTCCCCTCAGACTCGAGTTCAGCAGATGGTGTGAGGGAGACAGAGAAATGTGGAATAAGAAGGGGAACAGACAGTGGCCAGGGCTTCAGGCTGCTGCTGGGCCCTAGAACACCAAGTTCGGGTTGTTATTTTGGTGATTCAGAAGCAGAAGTTTCAAAGAGGGAAAGTTAAACCAGTGTGCAGCCAATCAGGATGCTATTCAAAGAACACTTGGTAAACAGCAGTGTCTAGGTTTTCATTGTTCTTCCTCCCACTTGTTTTTAGAAGCTGCAAGACCACACAAATTCTGGGTGGACCAAAGAATTCTTATCCTCAAAGGGAGAGAGAACATTATTGGCTTTGCCAGTTCTTTAGTGCACAGATCAAAGACTCCAAGGACTGCTGGGCGCGGTGGCTCACGCCTGTAATCCCAGCACTTTGGGAGGTCCAGGCGGGCAGATCACTTGAGGTCAGGGATTCGAGACCAGCCTGGCCAACATGGTGAAACCTCATCTCTACTAAAAATACAAGAATTAGTCAGGCATCACTGCATGTGCCTGTAATCGCAGCTACTCGGGAGGTTGAGGCAGGAGAATCACTTGAACCCAGGAGGCGGAGGTTGCAGTGAGCCGAGATTGTGCCATTGTACTCCAGCCTGGGAGACAAAGTGAGACTCCTTCTCTAAAAAAAAAAAAAGACTCCAAGGACAATTGGCATGAGAGGAGATGCAGTGTGGCTAGTTCATTCGTTTCTGAAAAATCACCAGATTAAAGTGAATGGGGAACTGAAATTTTTTTAAAAAAAGAAACTTAAAAAAGATGAATCATGAATTTTTTGTTAAAAATATTTTGATGAAGAAGCCAAACTGGATGAAAAAAAAATAACTGTGTCCTTGACAGTCTAGAAGAAGGTGGCATGAAATGGCCTGCCTGTCTTTGTGTGCATGTGGCTAAGTGCAATACTTGTGTGTACATGTGTGCATTAGTGTGTGCATGTGGCTATGTGCAATACTTGTGTGTACATGTGTGCATGAGTGTGTGCATGTGGCTATGTGCAATACTTGTGTGTACATGTGTGCATGAGTGTGTGCATGTGGCTATGTGCAATTCTTGTGTGTACATGTGTGCATGAGTGTGTGCAAGTGCATATGTGCACATACTTGTGAGTATATGTGTGTACATGTGTAAGTGCACATATTTGTGAGTATATGTGTGGATGTGTGTGTATGTGCATATGTGTATGTGCATATATTTGTGTATATATGTGGATGTGTGAGCATGTGCATATGTGCACATACTTGTGTGTATATGTGTGTACACAAGTGTATGTGCACATATTTGTGTGTATAGGTGCACATGTGCGTGTACATGTGTATGTACACGCACATGTGTGTATATACCTGGAACCAACTGAGCCTGCTGTGACATGTCATCTCTCCAAGAACCACATGCCCAGTGTCCAAAGTCACCCCCACTTAGTCTGGGACAGGGCGGTGCAGACCTACTGTGCTCCTCTAAGATGAAGCGTTCACCAGGTTGGAGAGAAAGCAAGCCAGAGTCAAGATGTTGGGGTCACCTTTCATCATTGTTGGCTAAATACAATTAATCCCCTTTTTAAACCTTCATAATGATTACATATTAATTGTATGGTCATGCTTGTCCCTGTATAAGTATGTTGTTTTCTTTTGGGGGAGAATTCGACCTGAATCTATGGATCTGTGGCCATATTATTTGACATTTTGTCATTTAACACTAAATGTCTCCAGGTTTACTGTAAAAACACTGTCCTGAGAGGTGAGACAGAGCTGCCTTCCAATAAGATCCCTTTTTAAAGCATCACCAGGAACCCTGCATTTTCCTTGGAAGACTCCATCCTGGAAGCCACTCTCTTTAAATACTGTCTAATCTTACTCCTCCCTTTCATGTGATAGAATGGATACAATATTTTATCCATGACAAGCCCAGAAGAGAAATTCCATTATCATTCTCTCCAGTAACACAGTATAACAGAAACTAATCTCAGTGGAGAAATATTCCTCCATTTCATGTGGACGGCTGAAACATTTGCTGCCAAAATTCCATGACAGCCATTTGTTACTGACATGGAGAACATTTTCTTACAACAATCATAAAAGCGCTTTCCAAAAAACCCATAGGGCTTACGAATTGCTTTCAAATATGCAACTGATTTTTATAAAAATGAAAGAAAAATTAAAAATCTCTATGCATTGCTGATTTTGAAGTAAAGCATGCTTTTTCTTACGTTTTAAAAACATTAAAATAATATGTATTTGATGATTATAATTAAAGTTGGATTTCACAGAAGATGAGTCCTATTTCACTAATGGAAATATGTGTAGATAGTTTGTTTTGAAAACAGGATTATCTGTTAAAGTTTAGAAAGAAGAAAATGAAATGTGGTATTCAGCAATATCTTACACAAATATAATATAAATGCCAGAAACCTTCAAAACACATTGCCAGTTTTAGCATTTTTATACGGAAGATGCTACTTGGGATGACATTACTTATGTTATAAAAATATTTTTGTATTATATGGAAGATAACACTCTATCATTGACTCATGTTTTCTGTGCAATGCACACAATGTCTTCTACATTGTACAATTTGAAGTGGAAATGCAGCCAATCTTGATTCAGAGTCATTCTGTGCCTTGTGTAAATTAGAAAACAATTTAGAAGAAAAAGCAAAAAATTAATTTTATTCCAAATAAATAAAAAACAGGAAGACATTACATGACATTTATTGCCATTTGACAACAGAAAGGAGGGGGTGGACATTGGAAAGTGTATGTACTATTTTCCTGAAGGAATTTTGAATGTGTTTCAATTACATTTTATAAATTCAAAATTGCACTAATTGGTTGTAAATGGAGAAGGTGAAAGAAAGCCTGGCATCGATATTATGCGCTCTTGCTGATCCCTCAAGTTTGTGCAAGTACCTGCTAATTCCTGAGTTAATTTCTGAAACATTATCACTGACATTTCATGTTATATTTCATGTGGTATTTCATCACAGAAATTCTTACCAAGAGTTGCTGGCTCCTAGTTTAACACTGCCCACTCAGGCAACAAATTGGACTTAAGTATTAATAATACAAGGTCAGTGTCAGCAAAATCAGACAATGGATTTTTTTTTCTTGAGGTTTTATTCTTAACAATTTGTTAGCTATTTTCTTCTGTTATGCATTTTTAATCAAGCTTTCAGTGAATATATGTAATCATCCACATTTTATTAAAGTGCAATATTTTTCCTCCTAATTCATTTCTATCAACTTCTCTTCTGGACATTTATCACAGATATAGCTATACTTACATCTATATCTATCTGTATTTTAAAAAAATTCCTTGTAGTACAATTTATATCAAAATACTTTAAATGTTTTAAATAGTATATTTCTTATGTGTAATAATAATAGTAAAACTATAGTATATTCTATGGTCATTGCATTCAAATAAAATAATCTAAAAAATTAATGATGTTATACTATTAAGAAAGAAGAAGTATTGGGAGGCTGAGGCGGGTGGATCACAAGATCAGGAATTCAACACCAGCCTGGCCAAGATGGTGAAACCCCGTCTCTACTAAAAATACAAAAAAAATTAGCCAGGCCTGGTGGCGGTTGCCTATAATCCCAGCTACTCAAGAGGCTGAGACAGAGAATTGCTTGGACCCGGGAGGCGGAGTTTGCAGTGAGCGGAGATCGTGCACTCCAGCCTGGGTGACAGATTGAGACTCCATCTCAAAAAAAAAAAAAAGAAAGAAAAAGTAGAAAATCAAAGTGTGATGCAGAATAGATTGAATTTTCTTAAAACTGTGTTCACATACATCTGTAGGTATTTAGAAATAGATATAAAAATGAGAAGAAATATATGTGAATATTATTAGTATCCTGGTAAAAATAATTATGGTGACTTTTATTTTTATCCTTATACTAGTTTCTTTTTCCTACGTTTTTAAAAATGAATGTATTATTTTATGATCAGGAAGATATTAGGATATTATTTTAAGTGACAGTAGAACTCAACATGCCAGTCCTGGGGGAGTTAGGCTAGCACTGGGTCTATTTTTGCCCTATAGTGTTGGGGTTTTCATGGACATGGCTCTGTTGTGGACACTCGAACCCACCAGTAGCATCTGGCATTTGAACTTTTACTCAGTAATGACCCCTGTTATAATTGAACTTTCCCAACACCATTGTGCGTGAAATGATGTGAAAGCTCATTATACAAGCTGGGTCATTCATATCATTCCAAACTAAATCAGAGTCGAGGGCTGGGGGGGAAACACTCAGGGTAAATAGCACCTGCTCCTAGAATTGCATTTTACACAAGCGTGGCTGAGACCAGCTTTACCTGGTAGCTGCTGAGATGACCTGTGACCTATTGCTCACTTATCAGAACTTGCCAGCTCCCCAAAGCATCTCTAGTGCCAGTGAGCTTCGTTTCAAAACAGTAGGTAACACTTCTCTTTCTAATAAATCCCCAGCCTCCCCTTTGTTCTTGGGGCATCCTGAAGACCACCCAGTTGACCTTGATACCCTGACTTGCAGTGCTGTGATTGCCAAATAAAACATTCAATCCAGAGACTTGTCTCTATATTTTATTTTGACTTCAACTATATCAACTGGACTTGAGCCCTGCAAAAGCCAGTCTATATTGTGTTTTATTTATAAAACCTAGCCCTTTCATATGCATTTAAGCTCTTCAGGGATATTGTCTAAATATTCATTTTTCAATTATAATTTAAAATACAATTTACTCTTTAATTCACCGAAGAACCCAAGGTTCATTATAACACTCAGACCTCTTTCTTTTCCCAATGTAGATACAAACTCTTTAAAAATTCAGTACTGCTGTGCTACTGAACCCGAAGTGGTTTATGTTTGTAAGTTTGTTTGATTTTGTCTTACTTTCTGGCTTGCATATTTAATTCTTGGCTGTTTTCTCCATCTCTACAATTAGTGTTCACTAGAGAATATATATATAAATCTATATTATGCATAGATAGATAGATAGAACATATATGTCATGCTGAGAACCACATCGCCATGCTAATACGCCAGTATTTTGAAATCCCATGTATCTACCAAGACACTTAAGTATTAAGTTAGGCTGAAAAAAGCTACAAGCTGTAGTGAAGAAAGACATCTTTCTCTTTGCTCTGTGCATGGTGGAATATTGCATAAAACCGGATTTTCAAGAGATCACAGCAAAGCGTCGGCAACCAAAGAAACTTTCATTTTCTGGTGAGTTTCTGAGTTAATCTCGTTCCCCGCATTCTCCCACCCCACAGCAAAATTAGGAAACAACTCTAGCACAAGGGCAGCCCGGAGACTGAGCCCAGACAGATGGTTAGCAACAGGCCTCAACGCAGAGCCATGAGGGCAGACCCACAAACAGAGCATTCAGTGAGTGCCTCTCAAAAGCAGGCAATCAGGAGACGCTTAAAATACTGATGAAACAAAAAATTCGAAATGTGATGCCTAGTGAAAAGGTTCTTTATTCCAGGTTAGATATATTTTTAACAAGCAATTAGGAAAGATGCATTTCCCTGACAAACTGCATGTTTAATTTAAAAACAGTCTCTGGACCTCCCCACATCAGCCAGACACACGGCAACGGGATCTCCAGTAACGATGAGAAAGTGGCATTCTAAAAGAAAGGAGACTTCATCTTTCAGAGTGTCTTTCCATTTGCTCCCTCAAATTAGTAACGTTTTAATTTGGCTTTCTTTTTTTGGAGTTGATGCACAAGAGTTTATTGGGAATTTTGAATTAGAAGCAGATGGGTTTTTCAGCTCAACTTTCCTCCCTTTTCCTGTTATTCTGAAAACAATTCCAGATCATGAGAGCATCTAAGAAGAGACCATTTTGGTGCTCAACCAAGATCACATTGTCTAATTATAATACCGTGCAACAAAGTTACTAGGATATAATTTTTCTGGTTAAGTAACTCAGAGTTACTTTTGTTTTAAGTAATGCTACCTTGAAGAAGTAGTTTTCTTTCACTTTTTCTTTCAATTCTTGTTTTGAATTTGCCAGGCTTTTAAAAAACTACAATGTAATCTTCTGACATGTGAATATATCATTTACTAAGTTAGATATATGAGTCTTTAATCAAGCTAATCAGCTTTTGCAGGCTATTGGTTAATGAAAATATTGCTTAATTACCATGGGCATTTCTATAATAATTTTACTTGGAGAATATTTACAATTTGAGCCATTTGTGTTTTGCCTCTGAGATAATAATTAGCCATTCAAATCCACCATTCTGCTTCTATTCCAGTTCGGTGTCATTTTAATGACGCAAATACTTTACAATACACATTATTAAAAGGGGGCAACTGAAAGTAATGAGTTTTTATAATGGTGGTGTTCATTCCTAGGCGTATAGGTTTATTTTTTTCTAAGTAATTAATATATGTGTTTGCCCTCTTTTTCTGTATTAGCATTCTGTTACTAAGTAAATGAATCTTTACACATCCTCTTTGGATACATAAATATGTAGAAAGACAATACTCCTCTGTCCAAGTTAACAGAGGGTGACCGGAAAATGACGCAGCATGCAAGATGGCTGCCCTGCCATCTCCAGGGTATCAGTCAGGGTTCCCTAGAGGGACAGGACTGATAGGATAGATGCGTGTGTGAAAACGAGTTTATTAAAGAGAATTGACTCACATGATCAGAAGGTGAAGTCCCACAACAGGCCGTCTGCAAGCTGAGGAGTAAGGAAGCCAGTTTGAGTCCCAAGACCTCCAAAGCCGGGAAGCAGACAGTGCAGCCTTTAGTCTGTGGCCTAAGGCCAGACAGCCCCTGGCAAACCACTGGTGTAAGTTCAAGAGTCCAAAGCTGAAGAACTTGGAGTCCAATGTTCAAGAGCAGGAAGCACCCAGCACAGGAGAAAGATGGAGGCCAGAAGAATCAGGCAGTCTACTGCTTCTATGTTCTTCTGCCTGTTTCTATTATAACCATATTGGCAGCTGATTAGATGGTGCCCACCCAGATTGAGGGTGGGTCTGCCTCTCTCAGTCCACTGACTCAAATGTTAATCTCCTTTGGCAACACCCTCACAGACACACACAGGAACAATACTTTGCATTCTTCAGTCAAGTTGACACTCAATATTAACCGTCACATCCACCATCCCACCAGATTGTGTGTTCTCAAATCACACAGTTAGGAAATTACAGAATGGCTGTAAACTCCTGATTGTACCATAAGGATATCCAAATTAAATTCCACTGAAAGCTTATAATGATATTGACTGTGGCCACAGAATTAAGCCTGGATTTGAAACTAGGAGCTTTGCAAATGAAACTATTTTTCTCATATACTATCTGAGTCTATACCAAGTGTACTTGAGGTAATATCTATTGATTGAATGAAGTTGTCCACTGTTGTCAATCAGCCTGGCATGTTGTTTTTATGCATTTTTTAAATAATGCAATGGGCCTCGAGAAATCGCTATGCTATCTTCATAGTTGAGGAGGACACTATATGTCCCACCGGAGCAATGAGGCTTCCTGTGCTGAGTTTCCCGCCGTGGTAGTGGTGGTTTCTCCTCCGTTGGTGTAGGTGGCCCTGGCATGAAGCAAGCAGTCTCTGACTCTCAACCTGATGTTCTTTCCAAGGTGACTTTTGGCCTCCTGAGGGCACCACATTTAATCTCTTTGCAAACGTCCATGTACATGCTCCTAAGTAAACCCCAGGCATAGCTTCTCTGATGCACAGAATGATTTGATTCTTTTGACAATAGAGGAATGTGGACATTTTGCTTTGCTTTGTTTGGCAGTGTTTTTATTTTGTTAACAGGCTAGAACCTTCAATCTCATACGTGAAGCTACAATCAATAGATGATACTCATACCGACCTCTTAAAAAAAAGAAAATGAAGTAATGTATTGACTCCAGCCTAGCAAAGAAACTGTGTGTTTTATTACATTTGGACTGCATCCTCTGGCAAAAAGCCATACCACATTTCTGCTGTTTATTTAGGAGGCCTAAACATTGGTGAGGCCAAATACCACACAGAGTAAGCAAAAATAGGACTTATTTATTTATATTTCCTAATAGTTATTTATTTCTCAATTCAATACTTCTGAAAAGCAGTCATAATTCTGTGTCCAAAACACTCTGCTTCCCAAGCTCTTGTTCCTCCCCAGTGGTGGAAGATGAACCTTCCCTCATTGCCTGTTTGGTCTAAGATGCTTGCAAGGGTGTGCAACTCTGTCCATTAATGGCTACATTCCAGGGACTCCCTAGGAGAGGACGTGGCCACAAGTCTGAATTGTTGGAAAATGTGATTCTTGAAGTCATTATATGAAAAAGATACTTGGACATGCATGTTTATAGCAGCACAATTTGCAACTGCAAAAATGTGAAACCAGCCCAAATGCCCATCAATCAACCAGTGGATAAAGAAACTGTGGTATGTATATATGATGGAATACTACTCAGCTATAAAAAGAAATACATTAATGGCATTCACAGCAACCTGAATGAGATTGGAAACCATTATTCTAAGCAAAGTAACCCAGGAATGGAAAGTCGAACATTGCTTGTTCTCACTCATAAGTGGGAACTAAGTTATGAGGATGCAAAGGCATAAAAATGACACAGTGGACTTTAGGGGCTCAAAGGGAAAGAGAGAAAAGGGGGAGAGGGATAAAATACTACAAATTGTGTGCAGTGTATACTGCTCAGGTGATGGGTACACCAAAATCTCACAAATCACTACTACAAACTTACTCATGTAACCAAACACCACCTGTTCCCCAATAACCTATGAAAACAAAACAAAAACCAGGATTGAATTTCTTAGTAGTTTTTCTTGCTTAATTTCTGACAGCCTTTGAGTAAAGAAAAAAAAATCTGAAGTTGGTTTAATTCTCAGCATCTGAATATCTCCCCAAACAGAAGGAAATCTGCTGGTGACGTATCTCTTTCCAGACTTACTCGCTGGTGATCCTTTCCACTCACTGTGCATCCCGATACTGACCTGCCCATTTGGCTTGGCTGTCAACATTTCCTCTTAGAATACACCTTGCATTTTAGTTTTTTAAGAATTTTATTATTATTATTTTAATGGAGGCAAGAGAATGTCCTCTTTCACGGTGACACCACAGCACTCTCTAACTCTACAATGCTGCAAAAATAAACTTTGAAGGTGTCTTTGTGATGTACGCACACCGCTCCCGCCCGTCTCCACCATGTTCCCTGGCCCTCAGTGCCATGTGCGTCTGTCAGTTTTAGAGACACACCTTGTGACTAGAGATGAAAACTCACGTCCACTGGTGGGAGGGAGCTGAACAGGCCTGGGCAGGGAAGCATGCTTTCAGCATTTGCTCTTTGGAATCCTCTGATTCCATCAAACCAAGCATCCATTAGCAGATGTGATCTGACCATCCCCTCAAGAGCAACCATAACAGTGAAAGAACCAAATGGAAGATTAAAGCAGAGAAAGTGTGAGATATTCTCCTAGATTTCAGAAGCAAAGCGAGGCACTTGTGAGCCGCTAGATCTTCAACTATTAGCTGATTAGAACAGGGAGATATCACCACAGAGATGCGAACTTATTTAAGGAAACCGTTTGTGCAGTTTCCAGTTTAAAACTAGATTATAATTGATTTTTTTACCTGAACAACTACAAGACGCAAAAGGGAGGATCGTATTTAATTAGTATGATTCCTCAATTCTAGATCACACCTTCTATATTATTTCAGTTATGCTAGAAGTGGCCTTTTAGAAAACATTTTGATTTAGTTATATCTCAGGATGGTAGGTCTTCTTATTTCCTATTTTATTTATCTTAATGCTCTAGAAAGTGTTTGTTTGTTTTTGTTTTGTTTTTTGAGACAGGGTCTCACTCTGTCACCCAGGCTAGACTGCAGTGGTGCCATCACGGCTCGCTACAGTCTTGAACTCCCCAGTTCAAGCAATCCTCCCACCTCACCTTCCCAAGTAGCTGGAACTACAAGTGTGTGCCACCACTTTTTTTTTCTAATTTTTAGTAGAGACGGGTTTCTCCATGTTGCCCAGGCTGAACTTGAACTACTGGGCTCAACAGATCCACTTGCCCCACCTCTGCATTCCAAAGTGCTGGGATTGTAGGCGGGAGCCACCATGTCCAGCTGAGGGTGTTTTTTTAAACTATGATTTTTGTGTTTCGTTGTCTTACTTTGTGTTTGAAATTGAGCATTTATTAATACACCACAATGTACAAACCTACTTTCTGTTAAGGGATTGCATCTTTATTTATTATCTCGCCTTCTGTATTTACATTATATTCCTTCAACATTAGTGTGAATTACTTGATCAAATAAGCCATACTTCTAATCTTTGGATTGTTCAAGGCACGGAGTATAAAGAGCTGCTGAGTTCTTCAAGCAGGCAGGAGAAAGAACTATTCATTTAGTATGTGTATTACTTAGAGGCTACCCGCTGAGAGCATTTGAATGAAATGAATAAAGCTGCACAGAGAAGGGATGGACAGAAGAAGACCAATACAAGGCCAGACCAGGGCATATTCCTACTGGAGTTCCACTTGTGAGGATTTTCAAGTACATGTATTTGCAATGACTTTTTAAAGTCTTCATACGTGCTGTTCACATGAAGTTCATGGTTTCTTTTCTAGCGTCCTATGAAGACCTCTCCAAAGTTGTTCAAGTCCCAAGGTTTCAGCAGAGCACAGTCCATCTCAAACCTGCTCCACTAAGCAAATTCTATCCAATGTAATATGGAAAGTATTTTGAAGATGAAATATGTGCAGAACCCTGAAGTAGGTAGTAAGAATCACAAAAATGACTCCAACTTTTATGGAAGATCGTCACTGATTCTAATAGATTCAAATAATTATAAATCAAGTTCACTCTGGTAAGGGCAAGCATCATGATATCAAGCGATTTAGGTAAAAGTAGGGGGAGAGAAGGCCTTTCTTCTCTCTGGATAGATGTTAGAGAATGATCCTTTGGGTGGAGGAAGATGAAAACCCTATCTAGAAAGAAAGGTAGGCCGATGGCAGGTGCGCATGGTGAGGAAGCTCAGTTCATCTGAGGAAAACGAATGCAGAGACACCGAGGCTGAAAGACACAGGGCCCACGAGTAAAAAGCAACAAGGATTCTCATGCTCCTGAAACATGCCCTGAAATGGACAAAAGATGGCTTGGGAGCAAGTGCTGAGAAAAGTAGCTTGGAATCAAATTGGAGATTTTTATATAAAGTTAAGAAATGACATTTTCATTTTCAGGCAATGAGAAGCTGCCTACAACAGCACCTGGTGTTGTTACCTCTTCAGACTGACAGTTCTTCCTTTTCCTGAGAACCCCAAGGGCCTGGCTCACCGCAGCTCCTTCTGTGTTCTGCCCGTCTCTGCTGAGTTTGCTGTAACAGTTGCCTGCGATGTCACAGTTACGCCATCTGGGTTCTGCAGCTCCGGAAAGAGGGGACAGGATTTTTCTCCAAAGTTTCTTATTCATTCATGCAACGAATTGTTCAGAGAGGCACTAGACCAGGTGCTGCAGATGGTGAAGATAAACAAGGCTCCTTCCTTCCTTGAGCCCAGTGTGGAAAAGAGGTGAGGCGGCACCTGTCCATCCAGCACACGTGCTGAGCACGCAGCAGTAGTGTAGAAGGGCAGGCCCCATGCCGGCTTAGCTTTGAATAATGACAAACGTCAATGTCAGGAGAAAGGATCCAGGCTTTACACTGGTGTTTGAGCCAAGTACCCATTAATTATTTTCTCGGATCCTCTCCCTTCTCTCACCCTCCCTCCTCTGACAGGTTCAAGCGTTTCTGTTGCTTTCCCTTTATGTTCATGCATTCTCATCATTTAGCTCCCACTTATAAGTGAGAAAATGCAGTATTTGAGTTTCTGCATTAGTTTGCTAGGAATAATAGCCTCCAGCTCTATCCATTTTCCTGCAAAGGACATGATCTCATTCTTATTTTATGGCTGCATGGTATTCCATGGTGTATATGTACATGGAATATGTGTATATGTACCAATAACGGTATGGAAAAAGGTAGGGGCAAACTATAATAAAAATATTTTAGGCTTTAAAAAATGTTATTCATTTCCCAATCCATGGCCATTCTCCAACTTTAAAGTGCAAATAATTACCCGATGGTTCGATTTAAATGCGTATCCTCATTCAGTGAAAACTGTTCAGGCCTGAGAGTCCGCATTTCCGCAGGCTCTCGGGGCTTGGTGCTGCTGCTGGACCACACCTTGAGAAACAGGCTCTGGGACGGGAGAGCTGCGGTGCCGAAGGAAAGAGGAAAGGTTCCCATGCGGGGCCACAGACTGAGTTTCCTAGACGTGGATCTAAAGCACTGCCGAGTCCCAAAGCATCCTGTGAACCCCGAAATGGTGCGCCAAGATGGCCACACAGTCTGTGAGCCTCGCCACGGGAGCGGGATTTCCTTCCTCACTGTGAATTCTCTTCTTTCCTACTACGCAGCTTGGGCAAAAAAGACATTTTACGACACTGGAATCAAGAAACCGACTCCAAGTTGTATTCAAAGCATCCACTTTGTGCTCTGCGTTTTGCCACGTTCCAGTTGTATGTGAGCTGCAGGGCCGCGGAGCGTGGTGCAGGGGACGGGGTTCATGGAGCTTATGACGGTTTCCCCAGTGGCATTCAGAGCGCAGCCTGGGGCCTCAGCTCCGTCTTCCCCTCCCCAGCCTCGGGCGTCAATGAAGGCAGCGCTGGCCTGTTGCAATCAGACTTCCTCTAGCTCATTTCACCCTTAACTTATCCCACTCTGGATTTTATTCAGTGCATTTCTATTTTACAGTGGCCTGGACAGCAAAAAAAAAAAAAAAAAAAAAAAAAAAGCACTTTTTTTGTTTGTCTAAATTGCCATTGTACATATCATTGTACACCTGTTCCTAGTCATACTCTTATTTTCGTTCCTTAAAACACATTGTAGGGCTCTCTGTGAGTAATAAACATCATTTAAATCTCTTTATTTTACATATTCAAAGACAATGATAGGTCTTAAGAAATTAATTGGTATGTCAGTGTGTACATTCCACTTAGTAAACTTCATGTACAAAGATAAACCTTACTTTACAAAGTAAATCAAACTGCTTGATTGCTATAAAAACAGTATGGAAAAAGGTAAAGGCAAAATATAATTAAAATGTTTTAGGCTTTAAAAAATGTGATTCCTCTCCTCATCCATGGCCAAAATGTGATGAAAATTAAATAGCGGAGGCGAATTTTTATTTTTTGTGGACACTCTATACCTAGCCTGAGCTCATCCCTAGATCCATTGATTACCTCATGTCTGAATATGTAGCACTTTTAATTTTAGCAATGCTGACAGTTTTTTACAATGGCTGCACAGTTGCCAGATTAAACACTGAGAATTCATTTGAGTTTTACTGTTGGAGTTTTCCTATTTGGAGTTCAACCAACGGAGATTTACTTGGAATTTTTTGAATGTGTGTGAAATGTAGGAACAGTTCCTTGCCATCATTGCTTCTTTTGCTTGTCATAGTTGTAATATACATTATCTAATTCAGTATGGTTCAGAATGGAGAGCATCATTGGCTGGGTGGACGCTTGCTGTTTCTGGAATGGAGTCAGGAAGCTTGTAAGCTGATACGGTGAACGTGCTGAGGGAAAAGGCCACTGCGTTGCATCCAAGTGTGTAGTTATTTTCCCAAGGTAATGTATTTTGTGCCACATCTAAATCTAATTTAATGTTTAGCTTACCTTCGTGCAGTGTGTATGCCTTTTAAATATACCTTCTTACGTTAGATGGTTCAACTTTTTATTTTTAACTTTTATTTTAAGTTCAGGGGTACATGTGCCGATTTGTTATATAGATAAACTTGTGTCATGGGGATTTGTTGTACAGATTATTTTATCATCCAGGTATTTAGGCTGAGTACCCATTAGTTATTTTCTCTGATCCTATCCCTTCTCTCACCTTCCACCTTCTGATAGGCCCAAGTTTCTGTTGTTCCCTTCTTTGTCCCCATGTGTTCTCATCATTTAGCTCCCATTTATAAGCAAGGACATGAAGTATTTGATTTTCTGTTTCTGCATTAGGTTGTTAAGAATAATAGCCTCCAGCTCCATCTATGTTCCAGCAGAGGACATGATCTCATTCTTTTATTTATGGCTGCATAATATTCCATGGTGTATATGTACCACATTTTCTTTATCCAGTCTATCACTGATGGGCATTTAGGTTGATTCTATGTCTTTGATACTGTGAATAATGCTACAGTGAACATATGTGTGCATGTGTCTTTATGGTAGAATGATTTATTTGCCTTTGGGTATATACCTAGCAATGGGAATACTGGTTCAAATGGTAGGTCTTCGAAGCATCGCCATACTGTTTTCCACAATGGTTAGATGAATTTAGACTCCCATCAACAGTGCACAAGCATTCATTTTTCACCATAAGATGGTTCAACTAAAAAAAATTAACTTTATACCTACCCCTACTTAATAATACATAATTTGAAATTTCAATGCATTCCGTTCTCAGAAGAGATCATGTTTTTGTTGTTGTTGTTGTTCAATTGATAAGGATGCAGCTGATGAGACAACTCATAAAATGTGCTCAAGATTACACAGCAGGTGCATACATAGAACTAGATTCCAGGGCCATTTTGACAATTTCTAGAAACCTCTCTGCCTTATCTGCGGGACTCGTTTATCCCAATGCTGAGTGTGTGGTAGAGAAATGCAGTTCCTGTTTCCAGAGTGTCTGCTTTCAAGAAACCCAGAGGCATTTATGACCGTGTCTGGTGGGCCCTACACGTTGGCCTACACGTCCAAAGGAGGACCCATGGGTCTCTGGGTTTTTGGCTTCAGATGCCTGACCTCATCCCTGTACAGAAAGACAGTCCACAGCATGAACATCTCTCTCCTCAGTGACCGTTTCCTCCTTCAGTAGCTGCCAGGACAGTCCTCACTTCCTCCCTATGGAAACGAACCAATTCCCCCACAACCCAGGTTGTGCCAGCGTATAATGGTGTCCCAATCACATGTACCATTCACTCAGCATTTCTTAGAACGAACTATCTGCAGAATATATTTCAAGCCTGTCTGTGTGCATGGCAGGTTTCTCACCCTCTAGCATTAAGAACAAAGAAATATAGTAAATCTCACTAATGCAAATCCTGGCATGTTTTTATGTCAGTTTCTTTTGCCAAACCTGAAAAGTTACTCTTCAAAACTGAAAAAATGCCAGAAGAACATTCTCATTTAGGAGTTAATGTTAATGTATTAATTAAAAAAAAAATCAGTAAAACCCAGGAAAAAAGACCCAAAGTCATAAAGCTGTTGAAGTGATAGCCACAAAGAGCACTTTTAAATCTTCAAAGAACACTAGAATTAATGCCCAATTAATTATCATCACCTTTGTGCAAGGTAGGTTTTATAAAGATGCAACATGGGGAAATTGAGCAACCTGCCCAAGGCAGGGGAATGAGTACCCAAGTCTCAGCCTTTCTAAATCGTAGGCAACGGTGTGCGTGTTCTTTTTGACCATGGGAGAAAACTAAAGCCCGTAAAAGGTGATTACAACATGAATACCTGATGTTTCAGATATTTGTCATAAACCCACAAATAAAATCTATCACCCATAAAGAGGTTTTACTGGAGTGAGACGATGATATATCTGCCCGGGGTGATGCTATGAAGCATGACTTTGACACGCTGGGTTTTCAACAGCATGGGAAATACAATAACTTTCCCCAAGTGAATGGTTGGGAGTGTGATTATTTACACACATTGAATTTTACGTACCCAAAGCAGGAAGGCAGCCAGCTTGGCCCATTTGCTAAGGATTTTGGACACAAGTGGGTCTGCTTGAGAGCCAGTCATAAAATGTTTGCTGGGCCAGTTCAGGGAAGGGTCTTGGAGGTAGCAATGGTGGGCAGTTTTAGGAAGTGGATTATGAGACACAAAGAGGTAGCATTTATTTACTGGCATTTACCCATTTCATAACTCAGAGAAAGTAGCATGTTTAAGGAAAGCGCAAAGAAAAGAATCTTTCTGGGACAAAGCAGCTGATTAGCAGGGACATGGAGGGGTTTTTAAGGGCGGTAAGGAAAGGCCCTACCCACGTCCCTCCCTGCCCCACTTCACCAGCTCTGACATGAATGGGTAGGGCGCTTGTTCTGCCCACAGCTATGACAAAAGCCCTAAAGCTTCATCTTCTAGGATTTCAAACTTTCTCACTGCTGTGCCAGCCATTTTATTTCACATGTTTCTAAAAGGAGTGATTTTAACAAAACCAATTGAGCAAATCCCCTATCCTCCCATCTATAAAGATGGCTACAGAGGGAGAAAGAGAACATTATTCTAAAGAAGCCACTATCTTTTCTGCCTCACTTTTCCTGCCCAAGCCACAGTGCCCTCCACACCAGCTGAACCCCCACTGATATAGGGGCTAATGCTCTGGGGACTTGGGGGGAATGTGGGTATGATGCCCATGGGGCCCGGAATGGGACAACTGGAGTAAAAAAGATATGTAAGTTTCCTGTGGGTCCGTGGACGCCATGGGCCACAGCTCAGGCATGAGCTGTCATGAAGGCCCTTGAGAGGGCCATGGGGTGGGCCACACCTGCTGCATTATTCGGGGGGGTCAGCAGGACACAATCTGGAGAACTTTACAGAGCCTCCAAAATGAAACAAAACATGCACACCCAAAACAAACAAACGAAAACTGGAGCCAACATTTGCACACATATTTTAAGAATAAAATGGACTTAATGCCTGCGTACAACTCGGTTCAGACTCAGTCAAAGTTGCAACGAACACCATTTTATTCACAGCGATTAGGATTTTGAAGAATGACATATATTGTTCCAGGAATAGTTCGCTGAGGAAATCACCAAGCAGCTCCAGCAGCCAGGCCCTGTGCTAGAAGGTGAGATGTGGAGATGGGGACCAGGACCCAGTGCTCCTAGAGGAGGAAGCCAGCTCCTGAGAAATCACACTCTGTGATCATACGTGAAGGTGCTCCACAGATGACGTCCTCTAACCCTGGTATCCAAGACTCCCAAATTCCCATCTCTCACCCTGCCTTTTCACTACAGCACCAGGAACTTTTACAGTGAGTTCTGAAATAAGATCATCACTTTGAGTAAAATCAGGCAGTCAAAATCGCAGGACTTACAGGGAAAATGGGGCGAGACCCAATGCTCAAAAATTCATCAGTGACAAGTGAAAAAGTTAGAAAATGATTGAGGACTTCAGCACAGTTTTGCATGGGCTAAGTGGCTGAGAAGACATAACTACAATAAGTCTGACAGTTTATTTTGAAAAAGCCCTCGTGTTTCTGTTTGGAAGTGGGTGTCCTGAGGGTTATGAAGTGGTGGCAGGGCGTATTTGATACAGGAAGGTATGTCCTAACCCCAGATGTAGAAAGGTGAGCTCAGGACATGAGGGAGAAATTTAAGTTGAATGCGTGGGTGCGTTTGTGTGTTCCTTCATGGCCTGGTACATCTGGGTAGCTTTCCGCATTGATCTAATATTCCTAATAGACATAAGCAAACATGACATTTGAGAATTTCTGTTATGCTCAAATTATTTCTTATTATACCAGTTGCATTGGAACCAATCTGAATTTCCAAACAAGCATTATGGTTTCTGCCTACTCAACACCTCCCTTAGTTATTTGCTGGCCCTTTTGTTTATAAAAAGGTCTTGAACAGAATTTGTGATTCTGCCCCACCGCCACTTCGCTGCACCCCTCATGAGTCTGCTCCCCCAACATTCTTTTTCATATGTAAGTAAAAATTGCAATCATCCATCCAGTTGCTCAGCCCCAAACCTAAGGGTGGATCATAAGTTTTCTCTTTCTCATTCCCCATATTCTCATCTCTTATGTCAGAAAATCTGAGAGTGACAGTGTCTCACTCTCTCACCCAGGCTGGAGTGCAGTGGTGCCATCATAGCTCACTGCAGACTCTAACTCTTGGGCTCAAGTGATCCTCCCACATCCACATCCCAAGTAGCTGGGACTACAGGTGTGCATCACCACACTTGGATAATTCTTCGTTTAATTTTTTCTTTGATAGAAATGAGGTTGGCCATGTTGCCCAGGCTGGTCTTGAACTCTTGGCCTCAAGCAAGCTTCCCTTTTCTCCTCCCATATGTTGCCCAGGCTGGTCTTGAACTCTTGGCCTCAAGCCGTCCTCCCTCCTTGGCCTCCCAAAGTGCTAGGATTACAGTCGTGAGCTACCACACTTGGTCCAAATTCCTTCCTATAGCCCAAGATGCCCTATGGGATCGGCTCCCACCTTCTTCTCTGACTTCATTTTTTCATGTGCTTTTATTCATTAACTTCTTAATATTTTGAGAGGCTATCAAGTTCACTCGCACCTCTAGGTCTTAGGAGGTTTTTTCTTTGCATTGGCTGATATTTCCTCATATTTTAGTGTATCTGGCTTTTTCCTTATTACTCAGGATTACTCAGACAGTTCTTCACAGGAGCCTTCCTGATGACCGCTATAAAAAGCAAAGATACTGAATGCCAAGCACATTTGAAAGAGACTAGCACCAAAGGATGAGAGATCATGGGTAATAGAAACACAAACGTTCCCAAAAGGAAACAACATGAGGCAAAACTTGCCCCATCTTCACCGATCTCTCCCGTGCTATGGTGGCCAGCTTCCCGAGCCTCTGTCACCATGCCCTGTGGTCTCAGTGGCCCCATCTTACACATCATCCTCATTCACCAATTCCGTTTGTGCCCAGTTCCCACAGGGCTGCATTTTGTGTTCCATTGTGAGAGCCAACTAATTTAATAATCCCTTCTAATATTTCCTATGTTAATCTCTCACCACAGAAACATAAAGGGAATAGTAACACTAGTCACAACCAACATGACAGCATTGCCATGCCGAGAGGCCCTTGGCCAGCTATGGGTCTGAGCGTCTCTCCAACAGCACAGGTGGGGAGGACCACAGCCCCACCTGTGCTTGGAGTGGATCCCGTTGATCACATGGGACAGCCAGCCAATGAGAAACACCCACTGCTGCTCCTTATGTTTCCCATGTTGAATGAATAAAGGAACCCAGCAACCCAGGCTGACATCTGCACTATGCAGACGCCAACTCGGTGTCCTGGGCTGAGAGTGAAGACACAGAGTGAAGGATATGGGGGTGGCCGCTGGTACAACTGTTCTCGAAGGACATTTTTTTATGGAAAATCAAACACATTTTGAAGAATATTCTTAGTTACTCATAAAGGCCACATTTGTACCAACAGCACCAAGCCGGGCTTCCACGCTGGCATTGCTGGAGCCCAGCGCTGACCCGAGCAGGCTGCACAGAGGTGCAAAGCGAATGCAAACACCACCTGAGGGGCCTGAGCACTTATATTTGGCCAGGGTGCAGATGTCCAGTTTAGAAGCTGATGGTTTCCATGGGTCCTGTGCTGATGTCATCCTGAGTCACTCAGGGAGCTGCTGCTTGTGCAGTGATTTCATTGCATCCTCCTGTCCCAGCATCCAATCGCGGTGGCTTAATTGTGGAGTTGAAAGCAGAGTGAGGCTGGGCGCGGCGGTTCACGCCTGTAATCCCAGCACTTTGGAAGGTGGAGGTGGGCGGATCACCTGAGGTAAGGAGTTCGAGAACAGCCTGGCCAATATGGCGAAACCCCATCTCTACTAAAAATACAAAAAAAAAAAAAAAACAAAAAAAAAAACAAGAAAAGAAAAATTAGCTGGGCATGGCGGCAAGCGTCTGTAATCCCAGCACTTTGGGAAACCGAGGCCGGCAGATCGCTTGAGGCCAGGAGCTCAAGGAGCCAGGACTGGCCAACACATTGAAACCCCGTCTTTACCAAAAACAAAAAAATTAGCCAGGCATGGTGGTGTGCTCCTGTAATCCCAGCTACTCGGGAGGCTAAGGCAGGAGAATCGCTGGAACCCGGGAGGCAGAGGTTGCAGTGAGCTGAGATCGTGCCACTGCACTCCAGCCTGGGCAACAGAGTGAGACTCGATCTCAGCAAAAAAAAAAAAAAAAAAAAAAAGAAAGAAAAGAAAAGAAAAAGAAAAAAGAAAAAATTTCAGAGTGCACTCCTTGGATTTCTTGGAAATTACAGCCAAGTTATTAGTTGAATGAAATAATGCTTGCCAGAAAATTTCACAAGTTAACCTGCATAAGAGTTTTCCCCTAATGTAGTATTTGGGTGCATTTTCACATGCTTGATGGAGGAGGGATGGAGTATTTAGTCTCTGAGGTCTGCCTAGACCTTATGCCAATCTTGAAGTGGCCCAAACCTTCCGTGATGACAGGGACATCACAGTGACATTGCCCTGTATCCCCCATGTTTTAAGCAGAACAAATTCTGTCAATGTGGATGGAGTAAATGAATACAAAACAAAGCCATATGGTTGTTTCCTGAAAACTTTTTCCTTCTGGAAATTTCCCAAAGCAGCTGTGCATAATGACTTACATTGGTCTCGATTGCCACCTTTTTCTTTGGACCCGTTATTACACTTCTTACTCTTAAAAGGTGGTGGTTAAGTATGTATTTTGCTGTTTCTCATCTCTATTCTGATTATTTTCACATGTATTAATATTTACAGATGGATTCTTGCTGCTGTGTAAAAAGCATGGTACTACTGCAAGACCGTGGATGTTATCATTCCATTTTAGGTTCTAGCTAGCTGTGTGGCATTAAATAAGCAACTTCACTTTTCTGGCTATAATTTCTTTGACAGTAAAATTGGAAAAAAATGATGGTAAAAAAGTATTTTTAATTTCACTTACAGCCTTAACATTTTACGGTATTTAAGTCAGCCTGGGTGCCTAGCACTTTGTTGCCTATTTTCTATTTTTAAGCATGATCATAGTTTTCCTCTCATACTTTCCCAACTTTGTCTCATTCTCTCCTGAACTCATATGAATCAGAAAAGGATTACCTTCCTCCCCTAGCACTTTGAAAACAGTTAACAAAAAACAGAAGTATCCTCCTGTGCTTCTCAGATGTTTCCCTTGCTGTTAGAGCTTCTATATTAGGACTATTTGTTGGGCTGCATTGTTGTAATAGACCTGTCATCTCAGAATTTACTTAAGCCAGACAAGACCTACTTTCTATTTTCAGCCTACTCTCTTTTTGTTGAGCTAAGTGCATACTGATCATCACACAATTTTCCAGACCTCTTCTTTCCTGATAGGTCGGTTTACAGCAGTTTCCAAAGAAAATATTACCCTGGTGGAATCATTTCTACCGTGGAGCAAAGCTCTCAGGCAAGTCTTCAAAATATTTGTTTCCCACTGGGTGTATCTGGGCCCAGATAATTATTTGTTCTAATAAAAGAACAGGATGTGCTTGTCTAAGAAGTACTGTGAAGGCAGTATATGTGGGATAGAAGATTGAATACAGAATGGTACATAGTTTTGATTTCACTAGGATGAAAATTATGCTTTACCTGTAATGAATCACAGTGGAAACATCCTTGTTGAAATATTAAACTGCTTCTCATTCACAAGGTGTCAGTGTTTTAATCCTTTAGGGAAAGTGCTTAATGCACATCATATTAGACACGGTGTGTCCCATCAATCAGATCCAATGGGTGATAGATGACATGCAATAGACCAAGTGCCATACCCTTATTAACAACTAATATCCATGTTACTGCATTTCATTAATCTGCCTAGAAGCCCTCCTGTAATAAAAGAAATGACTTATTTCTTCGGTACCCCTTGAATTTCCTTGCTAAACTTTCATTTAAAATTCTGAATTCCAGCTGGAAGACACTCAAGGAAATGAGCCTTTGGGATGAATACAATTGAATCATGAAGAGACTAAATTACACTATCAATTGTAGAGTGTTACCAGGCTGCCTGACAAAAAAAAAATGTGCAAAAAAATTGTGGCATAAAGAAGTATAACAGATTACCAAAAGACAAGATCAGCATTTTCTTCCTTCCTGGATTTGCATTAGTTCCTTGAATATAAAGTGCACACACTTAAACCTTGAGAACTTTTATATTATCCTGATGTAAAGTGATAAGGTGTTGACTCTAATTTAAGATTGGTTTATAGTGCATAAAGAAAATATGATTTGATTTAGATGTGGCTATGCCTGAAACAATGCAGCATGGTGTAATTACAATGAGAGGCGCTCGTACTGAATGGGAGACTTCCTTGCTACTAGAAACCTATTGATTTTGCTGCTAGAAATATTAAGGAGTCCTTTTAAATTTTTTTTGCTTAGAAGACAGAATTAATACTTCTTCATAGGGTTGAGGGAGGGCAGAAAGGACATTTCTGGAAGAGGAGGTGTCTGGATGTGACTTGAAGCGTACATGGTGGGTTTTCAGGATGAACAAGGTGAAGGATGGCATTCCAGACAAGAGGAAACAGCTCCTGCAGAGTCACGGATGCATGAAGCACGTGTGGAGGCCCAGGAATGAAAAATAATTTGTTCTTATCAAAGCACAGAATGTGAGGAAGCGTGGTGATGAAGCTGTGCATGTGGACAGGTGGCCAACTGAGTCATGTTTTCCAGGAATTTACACGGGAACATTACAGATCATATTACCCTAGGAAGAATTCTCTACCATTTATTTAAGGACCTGCTATTTAACAACATGGCAATCAATAATCAAAGTCCAAGGAATGGTCACTCATAGATCTGATAATAATTTTTCCAAAGGGTTGAAGACAAGAACTTGATCTCTCTTCCTTTTCTTAATGTTTCTAGTATTAACATGTGTACTGACAACTTGATAATCCTTTGAAGTGAAGAGAATTTTTCCCTGGGTCTCTCCCTTGCATCTACCAGAAAGAAGAAAGTTTAAGACACTTGTTTACTTAGGCCAGATCCTTGTACTGACATAGACTCGGAGAGAGGTAAATAGGCTATTGACTCTGAAATCTCAATAATTATCACAATGTAGTTACAGATGAATTATTCTACAATCTTTATCAAGTCTGGCGTATGTTTCTCAACATTTAACTGAATGATTTGAATTAGTAGCTTTACATAGGAGCTTCATGCACTCTGTTACTTTTATTTATTTATTTATTTATTATTTTTTTTTTAGGCGGAATCTGCTCTGTCACCAGGCTGGAGTGTGTTGGCGTGCTCTCGGCTCACTGCAACCTCGGACTCCCTTGGACTCCCTGGTTCAAGATTAAATGTTTACCGTACATTCCTATGGTCTTTAAAGTTGCTTTTTGTTTATCTTTATAAGGCTGAGGATGATTCTGGGTCATACCCACTTAAGAAAATTAACACTGCTATGCTTGACTCTGGAATAAAATGTTGCATTCTTGCAGGTGCATGAGTCAGTAAGCAAGAAGACCGAACATGTTACTTCTTCAGGAACATTTGGGCTCTACTTCCCTTTGTCCTTTTTATGTGAGCTGGGCATTTAATTATGTATACAACTACACATTCTTGTCAGGTACCTCAGGTTTCATAAGAGGTTGTAAATCTTGTTAAACCACACGCTTCTACCTTAAGCCAAGAGCATGGAATAGCTGCTGTATTCCAGATATTTTTGGGGAGTCTAACCTGCTACTAACTCATGCTCATTATTTATTAAAAGGCTAATTACAAGAAGGATTCATTGAAAAACATAATTGGACTATTGCCTGAGGAGTATGTCATCCATCCTGAAATGCAGGCTTCTCTAAGTTAGGCTGGAAGAGAGCTGCATTTCTGGATGGTGCCCTTTAGCTTGCCAGCCGCCTGGGTCTTCTCTCCAGCCTGTCGCTCCAGGACACTTCTCCTATGGAATCACACTGTGGCATTGTGCCCTCCAGGACACTTCTCCTGTGGAATCACACTGTGGCATTGTGCCCTCCAGGACACTTCTCCTATGGAATCGCACTGTGGCATTGTGCCCTCCAGGACACTTCTCCTGTGGAATCGCACTGTGGCATTGTGCCCTCCAGGACACTTCTCCTATGGAATCGCACAGTGGCATTGTGCCCTCCAGGACACTTCTCCTGTGGAATCGCACTGTGGCATTGTGCCCCATGCCTTCTCTCCAGCCTGTCGCTCCAGGACACTTCTCCTGTGGAATCGCACTGTGGCATTGCGCCCCATGCCTTGAGGGGCACGATGGAAATGGCCACTGTGTTTCTGGTTGGAACACTCATGAACAGTGTTTACCATGTCACACACTGTCCTTTTTAGGGAGACCCATGGGGAAAATGTGCCAGTGAACTAAAATAGATGTGTCCCTCCCTCCTAAATGAGTAATTTTCTTTTCCCTCATGGAATCTCTGAATCACTTAATTAATTGTATTTTTTACTAGACTTCATTCAAAATTTCGAGTTAAATTTCTGGTTCTCTAGTATCAGTCTGTGACATTCATGCATTTTGTGTACTTTCTTTAGTACGATCTCTCCAAACCTTATTTTCTATTTCCCAAATATAACTAATCACTAAAAAAAATCCTTATATTATGTACATGTTTGTCTTAAATATTTAATGAAACATGGTAGTTGATTTAATTAAGATAAAATGCCAGTGATATAAGTAATATATCATTATAAATAATAATACAGAATAATGTATTTTTATCTGTAAATATATTTAATATTATTTATCCTATTTAATATTTATCATGTTATTTATGAATAATATATTGTTAAGTATAATAATAAAAATAGATAATACGTAATGTAATAAATAAAACACCAGTTATATTTGCTATGTAGAATAATCTTATTGAAATTGAATTAATTTTAGACCCATTTTTCTTTAATATATAAATGAGTAAGTTAAGTACAACAAAAAAATAGTCAGACCTGGCCATATGACAATTTCTTTGTAGTTTTAACACATCTACCATATATGATCCCCAAGATTTCAAAATAAAAGTAGACAAAGCAGGCCGGGCGTGGTGGCTCACGCCTGTAATCCCAGCACTCTGGGAGGCCGAGGCGGGCGGATCACGAGGTCAGGAGATCGAGACCATCCTGGCTAACACGGTGAAACCCCTTCTCTACTGAAAATACAAAAAAAAAAAATTAGCCAGCCTTGGTGGCGGGCACCTGTAGTCCCAGCTACTTGGAAGCTGAGGCAGGAGAGTGGTGTGAACCCTGGAGGCGGAGCTTGTAGTGAGCCAAGATAGCGCCACTGCACTCCAGCCTGGGCGACAGAATGAGACTCCGTCTCAAAAAACAACAACAACAACAACAAAAAAAAACACCACCAGAGATGACTTAATCCAGGGTTTTTATTTTAAAGACAGCAGAACTGAATGTAATGGCCAGGCTCAAGTTATCAGACAGATAGAATACCTGGCTTTTTCATGTAAGTGTGATCACTGGTGAATTGTTTAACTTCTGTTAACTCAAGCTTTTCCCCATGTACAGCAGAGACAGTAATGATTGTGGTGATGCTGTGGAAATTACATTAAGGAAAGTATGAAACATTCAGCACAGCTCCCAGAGTGTCCGTATTGCTATCAAAAGCCAGCTCCTTCTCTCCCCACACTGCCTTCAGGACGGCAGAGCCAAGGAGAGAGCCCCTCTCAGCATGCGTGTTCTTCTCCATGGTGGATTTTAATTCACTTTGGCGTATACTTACAGTTGATATTCTCCTACTTGGTGTTCTGTTTTACTTTGTTTTTTCTTTTGGAGCTATTTACTCTTCTCAATCTTCCTACATAACCATGCTGTCTTTGAGGCAGAAGATGGTTCTTTTTCCCATGATGAGTTCTTTTCCCATGTCCCTGGAGAGGCAGGTTTCCTCCAGCCCAGGACACTCGTACCACAAGGTTGGCAGGTGGCACCCTGGATGACCAGCCCTTTGGGCAGCATCTCTTTCATATTCACTGGCTGCAGTTTCCTAAAATGCCAACATTCATATTCCTCGTGAAGTGTATGACAAGCCATTTCCCATTGAGTTAAAATGTAATTGCATCTGGAAGGGGTTTTAGATGACATTGTTTCTTAACACCCGTTGTCAATATATGGGTACCCCAAGCACTGGGGGATTAAAGGGGACAAGCAAGGAGGCTCGAGCTATTTGGGGAGCAGGAACTGCCCTCCAGGGATGGGGTGAGGAGCTTTCAGGGACAGTATAGTGCTCCTGGAGAGATTGTGCTGGTGGCTGGGGAAGTTTAGGAGGCAGCGGCGCGAAGCCAGAAAGATTATGCAATGACCCAATGCAATAACAATCTGGATGTGTTTTGGGCATTGTAGCATGTTCGATGGTTTTAAAAAGCATGATATACAGTCGCCTTGAGTTGGCAGAGTGAGACTGATTAAATGATGAATGTCATGGTAGGTACAGATAAAATCTTAAAAGCACTCGAAAACGTCACATTAAAAAAATTGTATTTTTGGTCAGGATGTGATTTCACATCTGGCTTGAAAGGGCCACAGATGTTTGTGGCATGGGACTGAACTTATATGTGCTCATGCTTTGTGGTGAGAGAATATCTGGCCCTCAGCCTGTGGATTAGTTTAGAGTTTAATCATAAAGCCTAGAATCTGCCTTGTTTCAATAAAACAAACAAACAAACAAATGACAACCAAAATAACAACAAATCCTTGCTGAAGGCAGGCCAAGGTGATAAGGCATCAAAGAAAGGGGTATGAAATTTGATAGGATGCCTGTGATGATCAGGCATTAAGGGTGGGAAGTTCTTGTGAAACTGCCTCAGCAGGATTCTTGCTGAAAAGGAGGTATGCAGGCCCAGCGAGGATGGGAGCCAACGTGGAATCCTCATTGAGAAAAGGGCTGAGAAGGCCCTAAGGAACGTTGTCAAGGAGAGAGACTTTGTCATGCCAAAGCTTAGGATGGCAACTTTATGAAACATAAGCTTGAGATCCCAGGCTGTCCTCCTCGAGCTGCAAAAACTGACAGGTACCGGGAACCTGAGGCCTTGCAACACTGCTGGGTTGAAGGACTTCCATCCAAGGACGTCCCAATGACCCCTCACTGCTGTGCTGATCATTTTTTCTGACCTCTAACCCTTTACCTAAATGATTTTGAATTCCTCCAAACAGGCTGAGATGCCCTTGGCACTGACCCACTTTTTCTGTACACTTCCCCCTCCTCCTCCCCCGACCATGCCTGAATTCAGACCTCTAGCCCTTGGATCTGTTATCTGACCCAAGAAGTCTTGTCAATTTTAGAAGGCTATCACCTTTTAACAGCCATTTCTGCTGCTTCCTGCACACTTTCTAATTTCTCCTCTGCTTTCCCTGGAAATCTGATGCTTGACTTGGACACAATTCAACCCTGTCTCCTTATAGAGACAGCTGCTGAATGAATGCTAGAAATTTAAATTCTGCTTTTAGCTTAGGGTTCTCTGCCTTCTTTAAAAAAGTATTTCTAGAAAACATATACAATATATGCTGCTGCAGATTCACCTTTTTTTTTTGCTTTAATCCTTTGACTTGTAGTAGAAAATTGCTTTTAAGTAAGAAGTTTCCAAAATAGTTACACTTAAAAATAATGCTCCTTTTATACATTTGTTGTGGAAAGGCACTAAAAAATGCAAAATCGTGAGGACAAAAACTTCCTTTGATTTAAACCTATTGGTGACTCAAACAACTTGCCTGAAAGGAATTTACTTTCTTTAAAGCAAATCTTATGCAATATAATGTCCCTTGACAAATTAGGGGACATTAAATATCAGTGAGGGTTCTGCTCATTTTTGGTTCTTCCTAGTGCACGTGCTGAGTGTTCAGCACACTATATTTTATTGAATTCTCCAAGCTACTATCCATGGTCCTATTTATAGAGGAGGAGGAAGCGGGGGCTCTGAGGTGGGATCAACATGCTCACGGTCACCCAGCAAGTAAGAGGGGACCCATTCCCAGCGAGGCTGAGCATTTCCAGGACAGCTGCCAACACCATCCTTTTACTGGGAGGTTCTGATGTACCCAGAGGATGCTGGAAGCTGGGATTGGAAGAATGGGTAGATCTCAGAAATCATGAAGTCCTGTGGTCTTCAAACTGTGCCCCACAAAATGATCTAATGGCTTCCACATGTGGATTTTACAAAAAAGCGTCATCAGAACAAAAGAATGTAAAAACTACTGACTTTTCCCAAAACTTACACTTTCCCAATGGGAAAATTGAAAATTTGAAAGTCCACTTAAATTGCTTCAGGTTGGTCAGGCACGGTGGCTCACGCCTGTAATCCCAGCACTTTGGGAGGCCGAGGTGGGTGGATCGCCTGAGGTCAGGAGTTCGAGACCAGCCTCACCAACATGGAGAAACCCTGACTCTGTTAAAAATACAAAATTAGCTGGGCATGGTGGTGCACACCTGTAATCACAGCTGCTCGGGAGGCTGAGGCAGAAGTGCTTAAACCCGGGAAGTGGAGTTTGTGGCGAGTCAAGATTGTGCCATTGCACTCCAGCCCGGGCAATAACAGCAAAACTCCGTCTCAAAAAAAAAAAAAAAAGCTTCAGGTCACACAGCCGAACAGCTGTGAAGTGATATTTTTTTCAGTCCAAAGTTCTTGCTACCACACTAGGATGCCAAGTCAGTCATTAAAATATAGATAGATAAGACCAGTTTAATTTCCATCACTCTTTCAGCTTCTTTGATCTTCTGTTAAAAATATGTAAAGCTCAAAGGGCTAAGCATTTATCCAACAGCAGAATTGCCTGCAGCAACCACTGACCCTTGAGCTGTGAAGGTGCACACCAGTCTCAGGACCACACAACAGAAGGGGTAATGGCAGCTGATACTGTATGACAACTGGTAGACCTCCGCTACGTCAGGAACTGCTCAATGCTGCTATTTTCTGGGTTAAAGTAGTTGGCAGGTGAACATAAAAATCCAAAATCCATCACTAAAAATTGAATTGAAATGCAAAATAAAATGCTGCTCTGACCAATGACAAAAAAATAGAACTTCTCAAAGAGTTTCGGTGAAAAGCAAGAAATCATTGTGGAGAGGAACTAGGGAGAAGTCAACTCCAAGGTAATCAAAAAGAGTTCTATTTTGCCTGAGGATTTTGGAATAAATTCAACAGCACTAATTGGCCCCGGATGTGAATAGGTAGCCAGGGGCATGGGATGGGGCACAGACACCGAGAGCTTCATCTTCCTGAATAGGAAAACTTAGCTTCCAGTGTTGAGCTGCCACACACACAGCTGCAGATGCAAATGACCCATGTTTCCCTCTGTGTTTCCTAGCGTCTCTCCTTCTAGTCGTATCTGTTGTAAAGACTCTCATTCATCCAGGTGTTATTTAAAATAGAGGAGAGAATAAATTCCATTTTAAAGGTGTTACTTTGGGTCAATTCTTGGAGACAGGTAAACAAGTCAGGGCTGGAAAATATGACTGAGAAGCCAGGGCCACTCCTCTCTCCTCAGCAACAGCAGAGGATGCTGTTAAATAAAGTAATTCACATGAGCCTGTGGGGCCCTTTTACCTGCATGGACAGCCACACTTTTTCATTGTTCCTGGTCCTCTTACCCTCTGCAGGAATTTGCCCAATTCCAAATATGTCTCAAGCTCGTATAGGAAATCAGTTCCTATGGAAGGACTAGTAAGGGTGGTAAATGAATGACTTTTCCCAAAGTAATTTTCATTCTCATAAAAAATGTTTGCAAACCATAAATCCTGTCAGACTTACAAAGGAACAAATCTATAATGCTAGAACTTCACTCACTGAGACTGTCTTTCAGGAGAAAGGACGGGGGATTTGGAGATAAGCAGGCTTCCATGGGGCTTCTTCTCAGGGTCAGCCCACAGTCCTAAAGAGCCCCCGTCTATGTGAGGCTAAAAGCAGGTGCATCTGTACTCAGGAGGGTCTCCATAGACAGCCGTCTTGCCCACCCAGCTGAAGAAGGCTTTTCAGTTTCGACGCATCAACAGCCGTGCTCTGCTCTTGGCAGCGAATCCCAAATGACAGCTTCTGTGAGTGTCCTTGTAGGCACAGTGGCTCTCACACCACAGGGGAGAAGTGCTGTGTCTTAAGCTCATCTCAGGAATATTTCTCCCTCCCAGCAACACCCAGAGAAGGGCCCCCTTCACCCTAGGCTGTGGTCCTGCATGGACGGTGGAGAGCAGTCAGGGTTGAACCCATTCGCCCAGCCCTGCCCTTAAAGGAACGTGTGGCTTTCAAATTGGAGCAGCTTATCCTCTTGATTTTGCGTCATGTATAAATGAAAGAGGAGACATTTTTGGTGCTTCTTGTGACTGGAATCTGCCGTAAGCAAGCTCCCCTGGGAGTATTGGGCTGCGTCTGGATGTCTCACTTACAGTGGCCCTTCGTCTCCATTTCAATCTTTTCTTTACTTTATTCATCCTGCTCCACCCCTTTAGCTGCTCAGACAGCACATGTTGGAGCTATCCTCTCTCTCTCTCTCTGTTTCACCCACATCTAATCCATAGCAAATTCTGTCCGCTTAATCTTCAAAATGTATCTATGATCTGGCCACTTCTCTCCATCTCTACGGTGACTACTGTGGTCCTAGCCACTGTCGTTTCCTGCCAAGATGATGTCCACAGCCTCCTATTTGGTATCGAGAGAAGCCATGGCCCCAACAGCCTAAGCAGTGTATTCAGATGGTGCTGGTTCTCTGCCCCGTATGCTCCATGCGCCCACTTCTCTGTTTGCATCGCGGCTGCAGGGCCCCTGACGCTTCTGCGGCTGCATCTCCGCCAATGTCCTCCCTGGCTCTGGCCCTTCGTACTTCCTCTTTTCTCTGACTTTCGGAATGTTTTCTTCCTGGGTTCAGTTTGTTGAAGACTTTGCTCAAATGTCATTCCCTCTTTAAGGTCTTCTTTCCTGCACCCAGACGGCTTTATCTAAAATCAGTCTATCTGCCCAGCAACGGCTCCATCCTCCTTCTGCTCATCCCGGCACGGCATTTACCTCCTGAAACACACTAGACATTCTAGTTGTTTATATATATTGTTTGACTTGCCTCTCAAAATGTCAACTGCAGAACAGTAAGGATTTCCAGGTGACTGGCACTGGCCTAGCCTCACTACTCAGGAGAGGATGCAATGGGTGACAGACATTCAGTGATTATTGATCAACTGGCTGGTTGGATGAAACCCAAATCCCTGCCCATTCCATGGGTGCTGGCTCTGCAATTCCTGTGCTGTCCCCCTTGGGTTCCCTCGGTGAGAGGCCTCCATGTGAACACACGCTGATCCCTTGCCCTTGACGGTGGTGAGCTGGCTTCATTCACCGGGAGGAATCTCTCGCACTTTCATGGTTCTTCCAGTGATTGAAAGCAGCCATCAGGAGCACTTCGTCTTCTGTGGAAGCAATTTTATCAATATAAATCTCCATCATTATCAGGGAAAGACATTAAGAGGAAGACATTCTGTTTCCTGAATTACCCAGGATTAGATTAACAAAGTTCATTTATTATTAAACTAAGGTACTATTAGAATATGCTCCCATGCTACAGTGCCTGGTTATGGAGTACTAAATGATTCAACAAGATAATTAACCCCTGCATCCTTTAAAATTTTTGAATCCAAATCACTGTGAAACCTACCACAGATAAACACAAGAGGGGTATGAACTATAAACATTGTATATTTGAAACATTAAATTTTATAACTTTCTAAAGCAAATGTCAGATATAAAGAAGATATAAATTGGGAGGAAACCTACAGGAAGCTTCTGAAAGAGCATGGCTGAAATGCGGTTGTATTTCTTTGCTTCAATGAATAAACATTCAGCGGCTTGCCCATAAGAAAAGGGAAGAGCCCATTCTATATCCCTCTCATCATGCATATTATAGATCACTTGCCACTGCGTCCATAAATTTCATGAGCTGCAGTGCCCCTGTCTCTAATATATAAGAGACAGCACTGTGTTTAATAACGTCTGCCCTGTCACAGAAAGACAATGATGGCATCCTTCTATGACTAGCAAAGACCAGTTATTCTAAAGGAGGGAAAGAGAGGCTGAATATTGCTGGGCAAGAAAGGGGAATGGCCGTTTGGCTGTGGGCCTGGATGGCACACTAAAGAGATACTAATGGTGAGACCTCTCAACGAGACATAAAGTGTGTGGCATTCAAACTCAAAGTGAATAAACTCTACCAACATAAAGGAGGATGCATCTTACGTGTAATCGCACCTTGACATAAAAGGTTTCAGTGAAAAGAATTGTGCCCACTTGTCCTGTCCTTCGCTTCTCTGACTTCACATCACACGGGACCACATCATTATCTAAACCTACACCAGCATAAACCACATATCCATAGACTCACACCAGCATAAACCAAACCTAGGCAAACCTAAATATGCATCAGAAATGAAAGTTGCCAATTCATCTTTATTTGAAATATGAAAGATCAAAGGGAGAAAATCTAACCTCTCAACTCAACCTTTAAAAAAATCCCAAAGCACTTAATTTGGTGACAGATTGGTATGTCTAACCATGCCCTTGGACTGAGTGAAAATGACTTGACAACAGCCCCATAGCATCAGCTGCCCCGAACCTTTGGGGCTGGATGCACCTGCACAAAGAGAACATGGCTCACATTGGGCAGCTTGAATACAGAAGAGGCTGGACTGATTCAGAAATCATTGATTTCAAGGGAGCCTTTAAAACATTTCCTTTTGTCATTGATGATTTACTATTCTGACATAGCTATCTATCGGCTCACTGGCAAACCAGGTTCTTAAAAGATTACACAAATTCGGAAGGGCTTTCGGGAATCATAAACCAATAATAAAAAAAAAAAAACAGTTCTTCATTCTTTGTTGAAAAACATCCAGAAGACTCTAGGGAAAGATAAGAAGGAGAGTGCTTTATTCTGCCATCTCCAGGACTTGGCAGGCAGTTTTTGGTTCTGCTAAACTACATGGAAAGAAGAATTCTGTGTTAGGCTACTGAAGGGTAGCTGGACCGATACTCCCAAGGAAAAGCGAGAAAAGCAGAGAAAAACAGTAAATAAATAAGTAAGTGAATAAGTAACAGATTTTTTGAATAAATAAAATCTGTTTGAAGGCATTGGGAACTTCTAAAGCAGCCAGGACTTGAGAGACCAAGATCCAAGAAAGGGAGGAAAGAAGGGAGAAAGAGAGAAAGAGAAAGAAGGACAAGGAGGAAAAGAGAAAGAGAAGGAGGAAGAGAGAGGGAGACAGAGAGAGAGAGAGAGAGAGAGAGAGAGAGAGAGAGAGAGAGAGGCTGGGCAGAGACAGAGAATGCCTGCAGAGATAAGCCACTTATTCCACGCACTTCTGTTTCCCTAAAGGCTGTTGTGAACTCAGGGCTAGAGGTAGAGAAACCAGGTAATTCTGAGCAGAAAGTCCAAAGCAGAGATTTTGGGCATCTTGGAGAAAACAAACACAAATAGAACCATGATTGGGATCCACTGAGCTAGGTGGAACTTGCAGGACCCTGCTACTAACCCAGGGTTTTTCTCAAGGCATTTGCCGATCTTTATGCAGGTCAGAGCCACGCACCGGCACAGAGAGAAGTTGTAACGGCAAACAGGTCTTTGACTTCCTCCTGGTGCTCTGGATACCAACTTAGAGTTCAAGACCCAAGAAGGTGGAGTGGCCATGACCATGCCCAGGCTCTTAATGGCACCCCTGAAGGACGGTTCCCGGGAATGGGGTGCAGCTGTCTTACAAAAAGTGAGCCAGCCTCAAGTCAGAGACGTCCGTCCTTGGACTTGGCTGCCCACCCTTATTCTGGTTTCTCTTCCAAAAAACACAGTGACTCTCCTTCAGAAGATGATACCCTCCACAGCCTCTGCATTTTTGTTTTTTGCATAAAATGCCTATTCTTCAATTAAAAAAAAACGGGGCTTATCCATAAAAGGTACTAATAGAGAAATCTGACAAACAAAAGTAGAACCGCAAGTTATCAGACAAATACAGCAGTGCCCAGTGTGGAAAACAAGACCCTAGCTTCTACAGACCGACCAGGGCTGTGAGTCTGCTGAAGCCAGGTGGCAGGTCCCTAGAGCCCCAATTCCAACAGTCGGGGTGAACTGTCCAGGCCTCCAGAATTTCAGGTGGGACTGCCCTTGTTCTTGGGGTGTAGATTACCAGGTAGATGTGATACGGTTTCTAACTAGTTGCTAAAATGGTTTGCCAGCCTCTCAACATATTAAAAATATTTCTATTCTTATACCCAAGACAGTGGTTAATTAATTTAATCTTCTCCTAGTGCAGTAATTGAAAATAGAAGACAGGGATCAACCAAACATATTTTTTCCTTCTTTTTCACTTTCTGTGAATAAAGGAAGTCTGTATGTATCAGTTGGTCCGTATCCTTTTCTTCTCCAAATTATCCCCAGGTATTTCATGCCTCCCTGTATCCAAACCGACCAGCATAGACTCGTGTCCAACCAATACTTGGTGAATTAGACTGAATATATCTTTAAAATAACCAGAACCACTAACTCTCCATGTAGGATAAGACCCTTTTAACTAACTAATAATGAAATAATGAAACAGAACATTCTCTCACCAGAGGTAGGAAAAAAAGGATGTTAGACACACATCTATACCATGACCATCTACATGAGAATGCCTTTCTTTGAATTTGTCACTTGTATTTACAAGTCCATGCCTGGGCGCTGTCCTCCCTTTTCCTAAAATGCCCTTCTATGGATGTGCCGAACCTTCCACTCTACAGTGTACTCATTCTTCAAGACACACCTTTTCTAAAAAGACTTTCACTTCAAAGGCAAGCAAAATTACTATATTGCTTCTCTGCTCCTTTCCTATTTGGCAAGTAGTTCTATTACAGTAATGATCATATATTAAATATTCACTTACAACTATAAATTAAATTTTATATCTTTAAGAGGCCTACTGAATAAACCATAATATTAATTTAACTACTTCATAGGTAAAATCCATGAAGTCTTTGTCCAATGTGTACACACTTGTTTCCTAGGACATCAACATTACCACATAACGTCTTGTATAGGTTGAAGATGAATTCTCCTGAAAAATCTCAAATTGTCTGTGTTTTAAATTCCTTGGGTGCCCACCCTTTGAATTAACTAATAAATAATTTGAGCATGAAACAACATTCTCTGACCAGAGGTAGGAAAAGAAAGCTGCTGGCAATGCATCCACACTACGACCATCGACATAAGAACCTTGCCTTTCTTTGAATTTGTCACGTGTATTTACAAGTCTGTACTTGGGCACTGTCCTTTCTTTAAACACGCATTTACATAAATTAATTAAAATAAACAACTTTAACTGTCCTTCTGTTAAATAAGCACTATATGGTGCTATAATTTCTATGTTTTTCAAACTCTAGGAAGCCAAGAGCTATTTTATTCACAGTGCTCACTTTTTATCTACAAAAAGCCTGGCCTATACTGAGGGCTCAATAGAGGTTTGATGTGTCAATCAAAACCTGAAGACCATTTGGGTATCTGAGAACCCACCTCGACCCATACAACAGAGGTGCCATTGGGCTGTCATTGAAATGTTTTCTTTCATTTAATAAGAAAGGCATTTTTTCACATCTCCTGAAACAATATTTTACATTGTATTAAAAATAAATATAGATATAGGTTTACAGCCGAGTCTTGAAAAACAAGGTGGTAGGAATCCTAATCACCCTCCTGCATCGTCAAAGATACAACTTTTGAATCCACAAAGACGTTACTGCTAATAGCTACTGTTGACCCAAAGCTTTTCTGATAGCATGAACAGTGGATTAATACATATTTTGTGATATATGTATATATAAAAGTATATTCTTATAATAAAGTAAGCTAGGAAACAGAAAATAAGATTAAGAAAATCACAAGGAAGGAAAATATATTTACTATTCTTTAAGTGCAAGTGGGTCATAATGAAGGTCTTCACCCTTGTGGTCTTCACATTGAGTGGGCCGAGGAGGAGGAGGAAGGAGAGAGGTTAGTCTTGCTGCCTTAGGGGTGGCAGAGGCAGAAGAAAGTCCACATGTAGGTTGACCTGTATATTTCAAATCCATGTTGTTCCAGGGTCTACTGTAGTATATATCATTGTGGATTACATATATAATTGTTCAAGAGTCTACTGTAGATCTTATAACATATATAATCAATATTAAATAAATTATAGTTATATATAATTTATTGTATATAAATGGTGACTTACTCTCTAAAGCATAAAAATATATCAGTTTTCCATGACAATGAGCTTTTCTAGCAATAGTCCAACAATATAAGTGTATTCAAGGGGATTCTACCTGGCTTATCACAATAACTGAATATTTAAAGTTTCCAGTAACAAATGTAAACAAAGAAACCACTCACATGTTGCTGGTATGTCAAGCTGAAATGCCACAAAAGCCATTGAGTTACTTGAATATCTAAATTAGAACATCTAAGAAATGGTTAGACCATATTTTGCCTAAAGATAGATTCATAAGAGAAGGCTGATTTGGGAAGTGTTATGCAAGGAGTTCAAGAATTTGGGTAATAAGACACTTTTCCCAAGCCCCACAGATGATCCTGAAGGAAGACTGGCCACTGCCCCAGCCCTCTCTAGGAATGTCATTTTCACATTTGTTTGGGTGGAGAGATGGGAGGGTGGGGAGGTAGAAATCCCTGGCTGTGCAGAATTCCTTGCTGGTCTGGTGAACAGTCAGCCTCCAGTAACCCACAAGGAAGACATTTGTCATGTCTCAGCTGCATGTGGTGGAGGGTTCATCTGCAAGTTAAAATTTGGGAGAGGTGAAGAGAAAAATCTCAAAGACAAAACAATAAGGCCCGAGATTCTGAGACAAGTGTTTGACGCATAAGATATGCACGGCTGAGTATTAGGAGGTTACTTGGAGACAATGGCCTATACCCATTAATGGAAGTTCTGAAATGTTTACGGAGACAGGAGACTGTATCCCTCACCGAGAGGGGACAAGCCCTGGGCACCCTGGTGCACACAGCAGCCTTTCCAAAGCACTCTCTGCTCTTGCGGGAAGTTTGGAAATACACTTTAGCATTCATGCTTTGTAGCTGATAATGAAATGTTTTAGGGCCGGGGCATCTGCTGTAACCTGAAATTGCATGGCCTTGTATAGTGAGGGCTGAGAAATTGCTTTTCTTCTCTGTTCTATTTTGTCTATGTCATTTTATCTTATTTTCTTGAAAAGGAAATGAGTACATGGGCCTTATCTACAGTGGTGTACATGCTGGGTGCCAGTGTTTGTATCTGTGTGTGCAAGCACGGTCTGTGTGGTGCCGTCCTCCAGTTGATCAGGGGAAACCTGAGAAAGAAAACGGATCCAGGCCACTGAGGACAGCATCTACCCCCATGACTGTGCAACTTTTCCCACTAAATCCACTGGCCAGTTTTGTCAAACTATCAATCAAACACATTGGTAAGGAGCCGCTGGAGAAGTCAGTTGACTTCTCAGCTAAGGTAGGTATGTTCTAACCTAAGGTGGGTATGTTATTTTAAGGAAATAGATGCAGAACATATACCATTAACACTTAAAATGACTGGAGGCATAGTGTTAATAGCAACAATCATGTGAGCTCACCTTTATTGCTCCTGGCATGCTTTAAAGGATTTTCGTTGTCGCTGTTTTTTACGTTTCTCAGCCTATAAACTCACAATAACCTTGTGTTAGTTTATTGGGGCTGCTGTAGCAAAGTCCCACTAACAGAGCGACGTGAATAGCAGAAATGCATCATCCCACAGTCCTGGAGGCTGCACGTCCAAGGTCAGGGCATTGGCAGGGTTGGTTTCTTCTGAGGCTGTGAAGAAGGTGCTGTCTGCAGCCTCTTCAGGAGCTGCTGGTGGTTTGCTGACTCTCTTTGGCATTCTTTGACTCATAGAAGCATCACCCAGTTCTCTTTCTTCCTCTTCACATGGCGTTCTCTCTGTGTGTATCTAAATTTCTTTCTTTTAGTAAGGACACCAGTCATATTGCATTAAGGCTTATCCTAATGACCTCAGTTTAACTTGAATACCTCTGTAAAGACCTTATCTCTAAATACAGTCACATTCTGAAGACCTTAATATATGAGTTTTGGGGGAGATACAAGTCAATCCATAACAAACCTTACAAAGCACTTTCTAAAATGGTCCCCAGTTTGCAGTTGCAGTTGTGGAAACTGAAGTGCAGGGAAGTCAGGCAGCTTACTGAGGTTTACATAGATGGTGAATATCCGAGCCTGAGTGTCAATCCAGGTGAGCTGGATGGACACACACACACTCAATGGCACTCTTCAACTCCTCACACTGTCTAGGAATGACCATATTAGGAAATGGCCATATTGGTCAAGAGAGGGAAGGGTCATCCAGGCTGAATTTCCAATCTTTTGAGATCAAAATTAGAGAAAATAAACTGATATTATTTGAAGGCTTTTTAGCTTAATGAAACATGTGTCCCATTTAATAGAATTTTTATATTCTCCCACTGTACCACATAGTAACTACTTTAAGATAGTTAAATTTGAATATAAATCCTATTCTGGGAAAAGGACTCTTCTGTGTAAGACTTGCAATTTCTTATATAATTGAATATTTTCTGAATAATAATGTGATAGCCTCCCTCTCTCTCCCTCCCTTTTTCTCTCTTTGTTTCTTTCTAGAATAACTTAAAATGTAAGGGTCTGTTTAAATTCATATATTCTAGTACTGGGCCTTAGACATAATTAACAGATGCACAAATTTGCAAGCTATTTTACTAATTTGTTCATGCCAACTTGAGGTAAACACAGAAAAAATAAATAGAACAATAACAAACTCTGGAGGTTTTTTTTTTTTTTTTAAAAATTGTAGTGCATAAAAAGCTTTAGCTCTCCGTGCCCTTCAAACAATTTGTTGGAAATGTTAAGCAAAAATTTTCTGCTTCATCTATAATTCCCAAAAAGAACAAAGCATGTTGGTTCTTCCTGAAGTTTGTTTTTTATTTTTTATTTTTGAGTACTGTTCTAAGTGTCATTTAGAATCCACAGTTGGCCCAAAGGGTCAAGAAGAAATAGAGATTCTGCCAGTCCTGGGAATGATTTCCATTTCTCCCTTGTTTTCCAACCTCCACTTCTATTCCTGCATTTTAAGCTCATCTCCACTCTGAACTATTCTTCTGAAATGATGCAAAGCTTTTTCTGAGATGGCAAGTAGGCTTTGTTTTGCAAATAAACCAGAATACCTATTGCTTGCATACATTTTTATTCTCTCTGAAATGGGAGATTCTATTTTTAGACCATGCTGTGAGATCCACCCTCTGGGTCTCTGTTAGATGCCAGGGACAAATGAAGAGCTCTTTTGAGGAATGCAAGACAGTCTCAGCGGTCAGCATGAGAGACAGTCAGAGCTCTTGCATGAAGGTCAGCTTCTGATTTCAAATCTCAGTGTGAGCATTTGCTGCACCAGTTACAGCTCCATCAGCCTTTTAGCCTATGGAGGAATATGAAATCTTTCCATCACAGACTGGTTCTCTGGTTTGTAATTCTCAAATCCAGAAGGGGACATTGAGATGGTAGACTGAAGAAAACCTGTTGTTGTGTGGCCCTTGAGCCTCTTTTTTCAAGTCAGAACCTCTGCTTCGAGAATGTATGAGCAGGTTTCACACAAGCGACCCTGAACTAGAAAGACAGCCAGCCCCAGCACCATCCTGTAGTTGGTTATAATTTTGGCCTTTATCCTTCCCCCACCCTTATATGTCCATATCATGTATCCACCCTGGTTATTTCCGTTTCCCCTGCCCTTTTTCTTAATCACTTCTTATTTGATTACATGCAATTCAATTACTCAACAGAATTCACCATGTTCATAAATGCCTTCATTGCTTGCAGAGTAGAGCTCAGAGAGCAAAGTCTATCATGTACTTTTTACAAGCACACAAGAGGAAGTTGATTTATTCTGATGCACAATTTCTTTCCGATGAGAGCGACCATCTTCTTCCAATTACTTATCTAATTGCAGTGACTCACCAAAATGGAAACTTCATGTAGATACGAATTAGTATTATTTTAAGGTATTATCATAATAGTGCATTCTGTAATAAAGATGTTAAAATATTTAAGATTGGTTCACTGGACACAAAATAGATCTAATGGCATATCCTTAGGTAATGACCTCATTAACCATAGTTATTCTAACCTGCTCCCTAAAATCCACAGCAGATATATATGGTTGGATCTTAATAATCTAATTTTCTTGTCTCTCACATAAGATACAAACTGGGTCTGTACTTTGCCTACTAGTAAGCCCCTGAATAGCATCAATTGGAATGCAAAATTGAGTGCTAATGGTGTTCTTTATTAACATACACTTTTGTAATGAATCTCATTTTAGATATGCAAATACATGAGTTAGCTGACTTGCTCCATGACATAGTCAAGAACCCACATCTTGATAGCCAAGAACACAGAAGAGTCATTCCTCTAGAAAGCTTCATGAAAATCCCCTAAATTTAATGCAGACTGCACTCAGAATTTAAAGAAATGCTTTACTCTTCATCCCTGTTCGGGTCTAATTGGCACACACATACGAAAAGGCAGAAGCCCTGCTCTTCATGGCCAGGGTTCCCCAGTGGCTGGCACAGGGCCGAGCTCATTCCAGACCTTCAACAACTTCTTCCTGGCTGATTAAGGATGGATTGATTGGATTGACTTAGGAAGGGGAAGAAGGATGGAGGAAAAAAGGTTAGAGCTGCCCTTAATTTAACAGTTTTGCCTGATTTTAAAATACGCACATTTTTTTTCTTTCAGGATGGTTAAAGGGACAATGTCTGCAAAAGAAAATTAAAAATTCCATGCATCTTTCTTTCTAAATGAATTTCCGTGGCTTTGTATTTTGACCCCCTCCCTGCCAAAGAAAGGAAAACCAAACAGGCATAAGATAAATTTTCATTCTGTTTCATACAAGGCATTTTGTGTATTCCATAATCAAAATAATCATCTCCCAAACATGGCTGATAACGAACTTACAAAAAAATAATGCAATGACTGACTTTACTGAACTTTAGCAACAGAAGCAGTATTAAGATTCACTTCCCATTCCCTGGTATTTGATTCTCCTGTTGTGAGTGTGGGAATGGCTGAACTCAGCAGAGGCTGTTCATAGTTAATATGTGGGGACATTCACGATGGAAGGCAATTTGCCAATATTCTGTAGCAAAGCAAAAGTAAATTTGTGATTGCATCTTTTTTTATGCAAACATTTTCGAACAATGTCTTCAAGGGAAATGAATGCTTAAATGTATATGTTTCTGATCCACAGATTCCTGCAGTTTTTAAAATTATTACACAGTACCACATTATCATAAATTATTTTCATGCAGGAAACTAGGGTTTATCTTACAGGCAATTAAAAGCTTCTGTTAGATATTCCCAGCATGACATTCTCTAAGCCATTAGCTTTTTGTAGGTCAAACACATCTCATTGACTTTGAAGCACCTTGGGCAGTGGAGATTGGTCCCCTTCGACTGTGCTATGTCATTACCAGTTCTTCTGTGTTGTTATTTTCTGACCCTCGACCTGTGACTCTGTGTGATTGTGATGGAGAGGAACTTTGTCACCAATATCAAGTGAGGTATTTTCATTGTTTTCTGGGTCAAGAGAGAAATGATTGTTTCCTCGTTAACCTTTGGAGTTATAAGAATTTGGTTTGTCTGATCTTTGTGTGTGTGCAATTGAAGCTCTGAGCTGGATCACATCACATTTCTGGGTTCACGCTGTCTATGTTTGAAAACCAGAGGCAGAGATCTGCGAGTCTAATCTTCAGATTCAGGGGGTCAGCCTCCGGAGTCTGATGCTGGTTCTGCTCCCGTACCTGTTGTGAAGTGTTGGGGAAATATCAGGACCCCCCAGCCTTAAAAAGGATGCAAGTATGTAAAAGTGTTTGGGACCTCTCAGCTGCAGAGGAACCTGTGCTTTCTTCTGATGGCTGCTCTGCTAGCAAGGCGGCAGGGAGACGCTCAAGACTGCTCTCCTAGCTGTCAGTGCCACTGGTATAGCTGTCAGTGCCACCGGTAATATTCCTCGCAATGAAGAAAGACTGCTGGTATTTGATTGCTTTTCCCTTTCTCATTCTCTCGTACAGTCTACGTTGCAGGGCGCAAAATTCCTGCACTCAAACACTCCATGCTTGCCAAGGTCCACATGCAGAATAGCTGGCCCACAGAAATTCTCTTACCTCGACTTTCAGGGCAAGCTGAGGCTTCTAAGTGAGAGACCCCTTGTGCTCTCTGGCAATGAGCGGCCTGTGCAGTAATTGTACTTCCCATTAAGGTGTAACTTCCATCTAAAGCCTCTCGTCTGTTCAGTTTCTTCTGAAAAGAGCTTTATTGCTTTGTGTTTTGTGCAGAGATTGAAACTGATTATTATCAGATATGAAGAAACCAGCTTTGTTTTAATCTTGATAACTCCCAAAGGGATTGCTGCAGTGACTTAATATCTGTAAGTCCTCAAATCCACCTTTACTTGGATTTTCCATTTTAAATTGTTCTCAAAAACACTTTTCTTCCTCCCTCTCTCTGTGAGAGTATTTTTACTTGTATTCATCCATTCTTCTTTGAAACATAGTACAGAAATGATCAATGCTTAATCATAGGGCCAATATTATAAGAATTTATTAGTTAATATTTGTAAAGATCTTTGATGATAAATTAATGCATTTAAGTAGTAAGCCTTCCTCAATTGTTATGTATAATTATTTTTAATGTGTTTTCAAATTATAGTTTACAAACGTCTACCAGAGCTACACAAGCCTAGATTATTAGACAGTTCTTCTTATAGAATTTCTGTAATCCCAGTGGAAATCTTCAGTTTACATACTTGTTTGTTAGAAGTATTAAAAGTCGGCTAGGCATGGTGGCTCACACCTGTAATCCCAGCAGTTTGGGAGGCCGAGGCAGGTGGATAACCTGAGGTCAGGAGTTCAAAACCATCCTGGCCAACATGGTGAAACCCTGTCTCTACTAAAAATACAAAAATTAGCTGGGCATGGTGGTGGGCGCCTGTAGTCCCAGCTATTCGGGAGGCTGAGGCAGGAGAATTGCTGGCGCCTGGGAGGCAGACGTTGCAGTGAGCCGAGATCATGCCACTGCACTCCAGCCTGGGTGACAGAGCGAGACTCTGTCTCCCCACCCACCCCCCACCAAAAAGAAAAGAAAAGAAAATAATTAAAAGTCAACTCTATTTCCATCTTTTTTTAAAGAAGGCAATTTTCTAGACTTCTTGAAGAAGGGAAAAGCTCAGGCAAGCTGTGTGTTTTCCTGTGAAAACTTCAAAATGAAATTAACTGAACACTGAAATGTAATTTTCTTCTTCGAAGAATATAGCTTTTGGTTTTTGTTTCCTTACAATTTTTATTTTAGATTCAAGGGGGTATATGTGCAAATTTGTTACATTGGTAAACTGCATGTCATTGGAGTTTGGTGTACAGATAATTTTGTCACCCAGGTAATCAGCATATACTGACAGGTTTTCAACCCTCACACTCCCACCCTCCACCCACAACTAGACCCCTGTGCCTATGGTTCCCTTCTTTGTGCCCATGTGTACTCCATGTTTAGCTCTCAGTTGTAAGTAAGAACATTCAGCGTTTGGTTTTCTGCTTCTGTATCAATTCATTTAGATTCCTCCAGCTCCATCAATGTTGCTGCAAAGGACATGATTTCTGATGTCTTTCTTAATGATTGAAGCTGCTTCCACTCTTCCTTCTTTTTCTCTGTTGAAAGTCTTCATTAGACTATGCTACCAATAAATCTATGGGTAATATAGTGCCTGTTTAGAAGCTTAGGTAACATGTAACAAATAATTATTGAGCTCCTATTGCTCTGAGATCTCTAGACACTAATAGAGAATAATGTTTGTAAAATATAATACAGATTGAGATTTTCAGAATGAACTGCAAAGGGTTGATTTAGGAGGAAGGAGACACATAATTATCTTATTTGTAGTCATCCAAACAGGAGTTGTTTTGGAGAGGCAAAGAAGAGCAAGAAACAAAGTTTAAAAGTATTATAAAGAAGGGCTAACAAGATTGGGTGTTCATATATTTTATTTGCTTTTCTCTTTGTCCATTTATTAATTCATTCAAGAAAAAAAGCATTGAATGCCTACTTTGCATCTTTCCCTATGTTAGGTCCTGAAAACAAGACGAGAAATAAGTCTCTGAAATTAAGGAGTCCAAATTCTGGTCATTAGAAGGGTTGTGTAAAACCAGTGATTGCATTGCAATGACATGAATGATATGACATAGCAGGGAGCATGGCTAATCCTATTGTCTACTTGATCGGGACATGTGGTGCCCAGATTAAACATTACTTCTAGGAGCGTCTGTGAGGGTGTTTCTAGATGAGATTAACATTTGAACTGGTGGATTTAGTAAAGTGGATTCGGATTACCCTCCACAAAGTGAGTGGGCATCATCCAATTCCTCAAGGACTTGAATAAAACAAAAGGTTAAGGGAGAAAGAATTCTACCCTGCCCCCTTCCTTTTTCTGCCCCAGCATTTGGCTGGAACAAAGGTTTTCTCCTGCCCTCGCACTGCAGTCACACCACCTGCTTTCCTGGGTCTCCAGCTCCAATTTTCCATAATAAATACATACATATAGATATAGATATCTATATATCTGTATCTAGCTAGTATCTATAAATATCTCTATCTATATAGATATATAGATAGATATAAATTGATAACTATATAGATATATTGATAACTATATAGATATAAATTGATAACTATCTATATAGATAGATACATATATAGGAAATATATGGGATATATGTCTATATCCCCCATTGCTTCTGATTCTCTGGACACCCCTGATTAAGACAGCAGGTAAACAAAAGCATTTAAACAAAAGAAAAGCCAGAAAGAAGGAAACTTGCTGGTGGGCTACTGAAATAATGTTACTGCCAGAAAGGAAGTAGAGAGGATGTCTAGCAAGATGAACATGCTGTGCAGGTCTGGAATATGAGGAAGTTAAAAGTGGGTCAGTCTTACAGGAATATCAAATTGATACAAAAATGTCAAAACTCAGGTATGGGTGGATGGTCAGGATTAGAGACCTTACTCAAAAGATAATTGACGCGAGAAGCATACATATTCTTCTCAAGTGAGAAACAGAGAAAGAAAAAAAAATGAGATAAGAGATAGATGAGAGGATCTAATACATTTCAAAGAAGCAAAAGAGAGTGAATAAATGGATAAATAACTCTAGATAAGCATTGACTATGAAATGCAATAATAATAGCAATGAATAAGCTGACGTACTTTAAAGGAAGGAGAATTAAAATGTATGAATAAAATGACATGCAAAACGAGATTGAAATGATTAATATAAAAATAAAGAATTGCAAAATGCTGGGCAGTGAAAAATGCACGTTTGTGCTTTCTTGGTGGAGACCCTGTGCAGGCATGGCATCGACAGGCTGGTGTCTCCTCCTCACACACTGGAAGTGGCCTGGGCATATTTGGTTATAAACTGTATTGGTCTGTTTTCACGCTGCTAATAAAGACATATCTGAGACTGGGTAATTTATAAAGAAAAGAGGTTTAATGGACTCACAGTTCCACATGGCTGGGGAGGTCTCACAATCATGGTGGAAGGCCAAGGAGAAGCAAAGTCATATCTTACATAGCAGCAGGCAAGAGAGCTTGTGCAGGGAAACTCCCCTTTATAAAACCACAAATCTCATGAGACTTATTCATTGTCATGAGAACAGCATGGGAAAGATCTGCCCCATGACTCAATTACTTCCACCTGGTCTCTCTTGACATGTGGGGATTATGGGGGTTATAATTCGAAATGAGATTTGGTGGCTACACAGCCAAACTATATCAAAACATACTCTTCCTTCAACTGTAGAAATTTTACTTTATTTTTTAAGTGCATAATTGAAAGTAAATCGGGGTGGTTAAGTGGGCAAAGAACTCTTTTCAAAGGTCTAGCTCAAGGATAGCTTTCAGGGGCAACAATCTGTGTTGTGTTTCTTAACCACAGATTCCTTTTGTCAGCCCCCTGAGATATCCTACAACTTCTTTGATATCAGTTGATGAGGAGAAATAGACATAAATCCATCATGACCAATGAAGAAAAATTCAAGCCCTGGGATGGTGGATTCACAGCTTCACATATGAAGAATATCATATGTAAAACCTAAATAAAAGGAAGGTTTTTATTTTTATTTAGTTAAAATACAGCTTTTTTTTGTCAAAGCTGGCAAAAATAAGCACATTGATGCAAATATATTTTCTAGGTATTACTTATCTGTAGAATTGAAAATCTAGTCATAAGTTTAAAAATATACTTCAACAGGGATTGGACAAGTTCAGAAAACTCAAAAGGAATGAAATTTTATCAGCTGTTCTCAGAAAAGACTTTTCTTCTCCCAGAAAATAGTAAGTTGCTTCTGTTCTTATAAATGAGCCTCTGTAAAGCAAACATTATTTATTTATTATAACATATTGAGACTGTCTGCCTTTTTATGCAATTATGTCTTTGTTTTTATTCAAATTTCAGAGAGTATTAAGAACATTTTATGCATTATGTATGAATCAAATATCAATTGATCAAATATACATTTGAAGAAAATATATTTAATTTGTGCTTAAAATGCATAAAAATATTCACTTTATTCTGCCCCATTTTTTCTAATAGGTATATTATTCCCTACGGAAAATAGGATTTGTTAAAAAAAAAAACCCATATGGTAACAACTTTCCCAGAACATATAATTATGGTAAACTGAATATTTTTAAAAGTAGTCTACAATTTCATGAGGGCAAAAAGCATGTCTAATCACCCATCTAGTCTCAACATCTAGTGCCAGGTTGTAGTTGGTGTCCAATAAATATTTTTGGATGAATAAATGAATGAATGAATGAATGAAAAAATGTTGTCATGATCTACTGATTGATGGTGGGCTCTCTGGGTGTATGTCTGCATTCAACATTTCCTATGGCGGCCAAAGCCTTTTCCTCATCATTTTGTCATTTGTCTAGACTACAGAGAATAAACCCAAAGCATGCACAGCATCCACCATTCAACATATTACAAAGCAGTAGCACTTGAGGCACTCTAAAAACTGAGTACTTTATGTCATTATCAAGTTCCAGTCTTTAAGGTAGGTTTTCAGCAAACGGGATTATTATTTTTAAAAGTTGTTGAGACTAGCCTCATATACAAGCTCAAATAGGGTTGAGAGATAATTGTGATGTTGGGCATACATCACGTAAGTAAAGGAGAAGCTTTGAATCCTCAGGATCTACTATTCTGGCCATAAAAGGTTAACAGTAAGAAGAAGAAAGTCACCAATAAAGCATGTGTTACAGCCACACCATACAGTAAAAGATGGGTTGAAGTGATGCTGGTTTACACTATAGTGAGTTTCCTTATATTCATAACAGTGTGCAAACTTGTAACTCCTGGTTGTTTTCAATAATGTCTAAGATTATTGCTTTTAGTTCTTTTAAAGAAAATCATCCATCATTAATGGCCCATGTTTTTAAACGTAATATCATTCACCACCCATCTTCTTTTGACTTTGAATGACACCTAAACCTCATTTCACTGACAAGATTTACCATAAAAGCAATCAGGAACAAATAAAAATATGTTAGAATTCCAAGCTCATTCTTACGTGTGCTCAAAATGTCAAGTATGGAAAGATATTTTATTTTTATTTTTTTCTGAGATGGAGCCTTGCTCTGTTGCCCAGGCTGGAGTGCAGTGGTGCAGTCTTGGCTCACTGCAACCTCCGCCTCCTGGGTTCAAGCGATTCTCCTGCTTCAGGCTCCCAGGTAGCTGGGACTACACACAGGGTTTCACTGTTTTAGTCAGCCTGATCTTGAACTTCTGACCTCAAGTGATCCGCCCACCTCAGCCTCCCAAAATGCTGGGATAACAGGCATGAGCCACTGCTCCCGGCCTAGAAAGATAATTTATAAAGAAACACTAAATTATGGAGTTAGCCTAATCCTCTATTTTAAAACAAAATAAAATGTATCAGCATTTTCATAAATGTGGCAACCATTCGTGGTTTATGTGTGTGGTGTAAATATTATGTACACACCCTGCCATTAAATTAACACCAGAACTCTCCATATTTCATATTACTTTCAATTAATATGGATTGACTATGAAAAATACTGTCAAGTAAAACAACATGTATGAGATGAACTCTAGACTATCTCAAAGGGACCCGGTCAAAGGGAAATAGAGTGAATTGGAGGAAAGCACTGAGAAATTTATCTGGAACAAGTGGAACATGTATCAGAAACGGTAGTAACACACAGGCCAAATCCAGCCAACCAACTGAATTTTTTCTCTTAAATAAAGTTTTGTTGGGACACTGACACTTCCATTTTTTCCTGCATTGTCCGTGGTTGTTCTGAGTAGCTTTGGCAGAGAACTATGTGGCCTACAAAGCCTAAAATATTATGTATTTTTCCCCTTAGGGAAAAAAAGTTTACTTACGATTGCCTAATATATAGCATAGAAAATTAAAAAAAAATTTAAGAGATAAAAGATAGGCCGGGCACAGTGTCTCATGCCTGTAATCCCAGCGCTTTGGGTGCCGAGGGTGGGTGGATCACTTGAGGTCAGGAGTTCAAGACCATCTTGGCCAACAGGGTGAAATCTCATCTCTACTAAAAGTACAAAAATTAGCCGGGTGGTGGTGGTGCATGCCTGTAGTTCCAGCTCCTCTGGAGGTTGAGGCAGGAGAATCACTTGAACCAGGAGGCAGAGGTTGCAGTGAGCTGAGATAGCGCCACTGCACTCCAACCTGGGTGACAGGGTGAGAATGTCTCAAAAAAAAAAAAAAAGACAGAAAAGGTAGACAAGAGGCTCTAATATACCTCTAAGAAGCAAAAGAGAGCAAATGAATGGATAAATAACTCTAATAAATGACTATAAAATGTAATAATTATAGCAATTAATCTGATGTACTTTAAGTGGAGAATTGAAATATATGAATAAAATAACATGTAAAACAAGATCGGAATGATTAATATAAAAGTATTCTAAATGTCTTATCAGGAAAATGACACATATATTAACTTTACACTTTGTTTAGACAATTATGCATGCTGCTATATATAAGGTCAAATGCAAAAATATATCTTTTAAAAGCATGGAAATGAAAACTCATGGGTACAACTGCACAGGAGAATGCATGAAAGCTGTAGAAAGGGAAAATGGCGAGTAAAATAATCCAAACCATGCAAAGGAAGACAAGAGAAGAGAAAATAAAAGGAAGAGGGAAAACATAAAAAAATAGCAGCCATAAGATGATAAAAATAAATTACTAATATATGAATTGCAAATATGTCATTAATTACAATGTAAAAATATAAAATCATTTCCTAAAAGACAGAATTTTTTTTTTTAAGATGGAGTCTTGCTCTGTCGCCCAGGCTGGAGTGCAGTGGCGCGATGTCGGCTCACTACAAGCTCCGCCTCTTGGGTTCACTCCATTCTCCTGCCTCAGCCTCCCGAGTAGCTGGGACTACAGGCGCCCGCCACTACGCCCGGCTAATTTTTTTGTATTTTTTTTTTTTGGTAGAGACGGGGTTTCACCATGTTAGCCATGATGGTCTCCATCTCCTGACCTCGTGTTCCACCCCCCTCGGCCTCCCAAAGTGCTGGGATTACAGGCGTGAACCACCAAGCCTGGCCAAAGACAGAAATTTTTAGAATTGATAAAAAAAAAAAACTATGATGATTCATTTGTGTGTCAACTTGAATGAGCTATGGGGTGTCCAGTTATTTGGTCAAACATGCTGGGTGTTTCTGTAAGAGTGCTTTTGGATGAGATTACCATATTAATCTGTAGAGTAAAGCAGATTGCCCTCTATAACGTGGGTGGGCCTCATCCAATCATTTGAAATTCTGGATAGAACAAAAAGACTGACCTCCCACAATTAGGGGAAAATTTTCTGATGGATGACCTTTAAACAGCATCATTGTCTCTCCATGGGTCTCCAGCCTGCTGGTTAACCCCACAGAACTGCCTATGAGCCTCCATAATCACATGAGCCAATTCTTTAAAATATATCTTCCTCACTCTGGAGAACCCTGACTGATACCACAACTTTATGCATTATTCTAACAAAAGTTTTGAAATTAGGCTGACACAGAAGGTTGAAACTAAAAAATATATATCAGAAAATTACTGACCAATAAAAGAAAATATATCAGCAAAAGTACATGTTACGGTGAAATAAACTATCGGGTTAAAAAAGGGTATATTTTAAGTGATAAAAGACACAATTCACCACAGAGATACACATTTTTTGAAAGCATAGCCATATAAATATGTACATCAAGCAACAGTGGAAAAAACCACAGGAACAAATTGATAAAACAACATTTATAATAGAGAATCTTGATACAACTTTCTCAGAAAATCATAGATAAAACAAGTGTAATCTTAATTAAAATATAAAGGTTGAATACTTGAATTTAACATCAAGATTTGCTTTTTCACTCTTTTTCTCTTTAACATTTTCTTTTTTTCCAGTGCCTAATACTAAATCATACAGTAATAAATCATCATTAATTGTGATTTCCGTACATCTTTCACCCCAATCCAAATGCAAAAGTCAGAGTCTTTTGCAGTGACTCTGGATATAGCCATTTTCAGAGTTCTGTTGTCCAAAGGCATCTCATAAGAGTATTTGCAATTATGTTACAAAGTAGAGGAAAGCATTAACTTGATTAGACAGTGATTTTCGGGTAAGCATTATAAAGAGCACTACTGAATTAGGATGACTTCCAGCAAGCTGTTTGGAAAGTAAGATCATTAAGGCATTAGAAGTTCAGCTTTCAGACCTACCTGTATGATAGATTGTTAGGCTGAATATTAATTTTAAATGATCCGAAGAGATCATGACAATCACATTGAGCAACTTTAGCTCAAAAGCCTGTTGGTGGTGTTATACAGATTACGATTTATTTTTATTACATCAAAAATTAAAATGAAATTTGTTTCATTGAAAACTAAGATAATTTTAGAATCAAGATATAGATGTATCATTCTTCCTAAATTGTTTAATTTTAGTTCAGTTCAGCTTCAGAGGAATCTCATCTCTGTTTTGCCTTCTAAGTGGCTCTCATTTTGAAATAAAGACCCTGCGAAAAAGACAGCTAATTGAATGCATCACACTGAGGCCCAAAGAAAGTTATATCAGATATTCCACGTATGCATCCACCTCCTCTTCACCCATCCATTCATTCACCTGTCCAGTCTCCATCAGTCCACTCATCTATGTATCTGTTTTCCATCCATCCATCTATCCATCCATGCACCCATCCGTGCATCCATCCATCCATCCATCCATGCATCCATCCATCCATCCATGCATCCATCCATCCATCCATACACCTGTCTATCCATTCACCCATCCTTCTCTCCCTCCATCCTTCTCTCAATCTAATCATTTTTTCCTCCATCCACTGGCTCATCCTATAAATATTTATTGAGCAGCTGCTCTGTGCCAGGCACTACTATACACAGTGGAGATATGTTAGTCAATAAAGCATCAAGGCTCCTGCTATCTTTGGCTTTATATGCTAATAAAAAAGATACACAATACAAACATACATAAAAATGCACGTCACCTTGCTTTGTTTGCAAAAGATAATGGGCAGTGCTTTCTGGTAAATTAACTACTTAGACCGGAGAAATTTAGTTTTGATTAGGTAGGTGAGCCCCTCACTATCTTGCTCAGAAATCATTTTACAAGTAAAGGATAGGGAATCCCAGTGTAATAACATGGGGAGATATTGTTCCATAGCCTCTCATGACAAGGGAAAGGAAGTGTCCAAATTATGTAAACTATAGGAATATTTAGAAAATAAATATATTTATTCATTAAGCAAAGAACATTGATATAAGTACTTAAATGTTTACAGCAGAATAGACAGATCTAAGCCATTCAATGTGAGATTTTATTAGTCACCATAGCCCATGTAAATAATTTACTCCTGTTTCCTTACTCTTGGCTGTGGGGACCTTGATGATGTTCCAGATTTACTCAGCTGGTCTATGAAGAAAATATTTTAAGAAAGAAAGTGATATAGGATGAATGAGGGTAGAGTTAAATTCAGTAAGGAGCTCAAAATAATATAATGGATAGCATTTTAAATATTTATTGAACCATGGAGATAAGCACTTCTACCCAGTTTGAAACTTATTCATGCCAGACATTTTTTCTCGTTTAATTATTTTTGAAGCATGAATTAGTTCTTGCCTCTTTTTCTTTTCAAATATCACCACCATACTCAATCTTTCACCAGTTATTTTCTATGATAATTCTGGTAGAAAAATATTAGCAGGTTTTTAAAAATAATAAAATGTATTACTAACATCAAGTAATTTTAATTGCTTCAGTTTTAACTATTATATCTTTAATTTAAAACATAACTAGAACGGGGATTTTGAGGGATATGACAAAGTAAATCACAATAGGCCTCCAAGGGAGATAAAACAAAGGCATATAATTTTAAATAACACTTGAAATAATTCACCGTGAAAAATATTTGATGCTAACACGTCTAATAATATTGGTAATTGTATACTTAAACTTACGTCAATTTTGTATTGACATGTTTAAATCTGAAATTGAGATTAAAGGAGTCTGGATCAGTTGTTTAAAAAAGTAAAAACAGAAACTTTAATTTAAGCAAAGGAATTCTTCTTTTTCCAAGTAGTGTTATTCTATAAAATATTAGCTAAAGCAAAAATGGAAGATTCAGAGCCCTGCCCACCTAGCCTAAGAAAATGTAGTCGCTGGGTGCGGTGGCTCATGCCTGTAATCCCAGCATTTTGGGAGGCCGAGGCGGGCGGATCACGAGGTCAGGAGCTCGAGATCATCCTGGCTAACACCGTGAAACCGCGTCTCTACTAAAAATACAAAAAATTAGCCGGGCGTGGTGGCGGGCACCTGTGGTCCCAGCTACTTGGGAGGCTGAGGCAGGAGAATGGCGTGAACCCGGGAGGCGGAGCTTGCAGTGAGCCGAGATCACGCCACTGAACTCCAGCCTGGGTGACAGAGCGAGACTCCATCAAAAAACAAAAACAAAAACAAAAGAAAATGTAGTCATACTGGAGCTCCTCAAACCACGTGTGCATTTTCAAAGATGCATATAGGAGTTTTTTCCAAACAGAACAATGTAAGAGTGAATGAATGCATGAATGAATGAATGAATGGAGTCTTGTTATCTTTTTTTCCATACATTAAGCAAATCCATATGAAAGAAAATATGAATTGCCAGTTGTGTCTTTGAACTCTATTTCATAAGGCTTCCAAATAAGTTTTCCAAGTCAGAGGTCAACAGTCTGTTTTGCAGCCTGGATTCAACCCCATGAGCATTCACCCTGGACTCAAACTTCACCCAGGGAAATCCAAGGCTTTCCTCCAGGAGACAAGAGCTAGGTAACAGCCATAGTTCCTCAACAACCACAGGTATGAAATGTCAGTCAAGGCCACTTAAAATACCTGAGCTATCACCAAAACCACAATAACCATGCTGGATAAAGCAGCGTTGCCTCCCACAGCAAGATGGATTCACGGGGATCGGGAAAACTCTGCCAATTTCGCTCCACCAAATATGTGCCAATTACACTTCTCCCTAACACTGCCCCTTGGTAAAGCAAGTTGAGGAAAATACCATGTTTTCTAATACGTCTCACACACCTGAATATAAACATATTTCTCAGGAGAGCCAAGGAAAATCATATGGGGAAAGACATAGAATAAATAGATGCTAAATTATCTCTCACATTCTCAGATGAGTTGCTGAAGTTTCTGTTGATAAGCTCAGGTTTACTAAAACTGTTTACTGTTCAATGGAGCTGGTTTCCTCATAACCTGTGAGACAATATAGAAATCAGTGCAGTTATGTTTGTAAAACCGAGTTGGAGCCAGTTTTCTGCCTAGTTTCAAACCTGTGGTCCAAGAAGTATTGACTACCAATGTCACTTGGTCCAAGGGACTTCAGTGTTATGAGCTTCAGAGTCATCAATTGTGAAACTGACCAGAAATAAATCTCAGGCACTTGGAACAGTGGCCAAAGTGTAGTATGTGCTCTAAATATATTTGCTGTGATTGGTGTTTGAAGGATCAACAAGTGCCTAAGAAAAGTACTTTTTAACTTAAATTATAAATCATCAATGTAAGTTTACTCTTCTGGCAAAAAAAAAAAAAGGCCAATAAAACGCTATATTAAATAAATACTAGATGAAGTTGCTCTGACAGTACTTGCAGGCACATGCCCACAGGTGCACGCATATTACACAGACCACAAACACAATTAAAATTAAAGTAACCTGGAATTTATCATTAGACATATTTAATTAAGCACTGCTTTTTATCTTGCTATTTTTTTAAGCCTTGTAGCTGCCAATCTGACATGTCTACCATCCAGTAGTTTGTGTTTCTGTGTCCTGGAGGCATGAGTAATTTAAAAACTCATTGGAGATTTATAATCTAGTTCAGACAGGTTTTGCTAATATTCCTTACAGAATATACCCATTTATTAATATGTCACAAGGTCTCTTTAAGCTATATTTTTTCTCATCAATTTAATCTGACAAACCTTCAGTTTTATAATTTTGTATTATCCCTAAATCTGATTATGTCACAGATGTATAATGAACAAAGAGTGATTATACAATTTGCTGCTGTCCTATTGCATTTGAGAATCTGTCCATAATACATTCTTCTTAAAATCTTTTCTTAGTATCAGAGTGATGCCTTTCAGTTTTAGAAGCGGACAGTATTTCTGAATAACTTTTCCCTTTTTTTAATTGAAAAGTTCCTTTCATTACAGATGAGTTTTGTTTTTAATTACATGAGTGCTATAAAAACTTTGTTTCCTTCCCAGCAGTTATGATGTTATGAGTGGGGCTGTAGCACCTCCCTCAATAAGGTGAGGTGGCCTTTCAGATGGTGACATATTGACATATTAGGGATGAAGCTGTGCATGGGAATTTCTCCTTCTTTTACAAGGAAGTGTCTACTCTTCATTGCTACAATTCAATTATTCTGTCTCTCTCAAGACAATGGTCAATCTATAGGGTTTGTAACTATGACCCACATTGAAAAATGCTAAAGGTATAAAAAATAGTTTTGATCCTTTGATCATCATGATCAAAGAGTTTTTAGACATATTTAAAGAAGAATTTTACAAAGTGCTTTATGTATTCAAAATAAAATTTTGCTAAAGACTTCATCTTCATTGTTACTGAAAAATATATTACTTTTTAATGAAAAGAATGATCTTGATTTAAATAGTGAGATCCTTTAATTTTATTTTACTTTTCTATGAGAACTAGAGAAGAAAAAAGTTGATGTTCAGGAAGCTAGGAGCCTTTAGCACTTAAAAAAATTACTGAAAGAAGAAAAAATGAAAAACATTGTAATATAGGTCTAAAATGTTGTTTTATTGAGATACTCTGCTACTTGTCAGCATGATTTTTATTATAAAATGAGACACACATGGAGTGTAGATAGAAATGAAAAACATTTCAAGCTTTGCCTTTTCTTTTATTGCTAACATACATAAAATATGTCAGTGGAACATTTAGCACTAAGCTTGGCATAGTAAGTGGCTGATATTAGTTTCATTCTCCACACCAAGTGTTTTTTCTTTCTTTTTTTTTTTAAAAAAAAAACTTACATCCCAAAGTTTCTTTTATAAAAAAAATTTCAATGCAGTATGGTCAATATTTTGACTTTTGCACAGAGACTGATGGCCTGGCTCTGCCCCATAGAGTGGAGGAACCCCCGGGGAGGTTGTATTACCTCGAAGGGGTGGGCGAGCCAGGGCTGCTGAACCTGTTCGTGCTAGACCCCAGGTCCCCTGTCCGGCTCTGTGAAGGGCTCTCCAGGGGTGGCAGAAGGGTGCTGGGAGAGCTATGCTCGGGAGAGAAGATGAATGGACTTGGGGAGTCCTGGAAGTTGGTGCACCAGGTCCTGGATGCCTTAAATAAAACTTCTCGAGACAAAGTAGAAGCACACCTCATTTTACTGCACTTCAGTTGATTTCACTTTGCAGATAATGTGTTTTTTACAAACTGAGGGTATGTGGCAACCGGCATTAAGCTCATCAATTGACATCATTTTTCCAGCAGCATGTGTTCACTTTCTACCTCTGTCACATTTTGGTAATTCTCATAATATTTCAAATGGTTCTATTTTTATTGTATCTGCTATGGGGCTCTGTGATCGGTATCTTTATGTTACTATTGACCTTGTTTTGGGGCACCATGAACTGTGCCCATATGAGACTGTAAACTTAATAGATAAATACATGTTTTCTGACTGCCCCACTGACTGGCCATTCCCCCGTCTCTCTCTCTCTCTCTCTGCTTAGGCCTCACTATTTCATGAGACACAATAATATTGATATTAGGCCCGTTAATGACCCTACGATGGCCTCTAAATGTTCAAATGAAAGAAAAGTTGTACCTTTCTCACTTTAAAACAAAAGCTAGAAAGAATTAAGCTTTGTGATGAAGGCATGTCAAAAGAAGAGATAGACAAAAAGCAAGGCATCTTGCACCAAGCAGTTAGCCAAGCTGTGAATGCAAAGAAGTTCTAAAAGGAAATTAAAAATGTTACTCCAGTGAACACATGCATGACAAAAAAGCAAAACAGCCTTATTGCTGATATGGAGAAAGTGTGAGCATTCTAGACAGAACATAAAACCAACCACATTTCCTTAAACCAAAACTGAATCTAGAGCAAAGTCCTAACTCTTTTCAATTCTATGAAAGCTGAGAGAGATTAGGAAGGTACAGAAGAAAAGTTTGGAGCTAGCACAGGTTGGTTCATGAGGTTTCAGGAAATAAGCCAACTCTATAACATGACGTGTAAGGTGAAGCAGCAAGTGCTGATGGAGAAGCTGCAGCAACTTGTGCAGAAGATCCAGCTAAGATCACTGATGAAGGTGGCTACACTAAATAATACATTTTCAATGTAGATTAAGCAACATTCTTTTGGAAGCAGACGTCATCGAGGACTTTTACAGCTAGACAGAAGTCCAATGCCTGACTTCAAAGATTCAAATAACACGCTAGCTCATTTAGTAGGAGTTAATGCAGCTTGTGACCGTAAATTGAAGCCAGTGCTCATTTTCCATTCCAAAAGTCTTAGGGCCCTTAAGAATTGTACTGAACCTAATCTGCCTTGTGCGTTATAAATGCCTGGGTGACAGCACATCTGTCCACAGCATGGTTTACTAGACACTTTAAGCCCACTGTTGAGACCTACTGCTCAGGAAGAAAAAAAAAGAAAGATTCTTTTAAAAATATTAGTGGTCCTTAACAGTACCACTGGTGACCCAAGAGGTCTGATGGAGATGTGCAAGAAGATTAATACTGTTTCATGTCTGCAAACACAACACCCATTCTGCAGCCCATGGATCAAAGAGTAATGTTGACTTTTAAGTTTTACTACTTAAGAAATACTTGTGATATGGTTAAAACTGCCACAGATAATGATTCCTCTGATGGGTCTGGGCAAAGTAAATTGAAAACATCTGGAAAAAATTCACTACTGATTGTTACCATTTTTAGCAATAAAATATTTTTAGTTAACTATGTACATTTTTTAGACATCATGCCAATGCACAGTTAATAGACTATAGTATAGTGTAAGCCTAACTTTTACATGCACTGGGAAACCCAAATACCTGTGTAAAACTTGCTTTATTTAATATTTACTTTACTGCAGGGGTCTGGAACCAAGCCCGCAAGACCTCCAAGCTGTGTCTGTGTTGTCAAACACAGCACCAGAGGCTCAGCTTTCTCCTGCCCCTGAAGGGAAGGGAAGCCAGGGCTATCAGCCTTCTCGGGGGATGCTGCTGTGTCTCCATGAACAGCAGCTCCACTGGATAAATGCAAACACCCATCATTCGGAAATGGACTTGCTTGCCCTGTCTTAAATATTTCATTAATCCATTTTCAGGTTTGCTGTTGCTAACTAAATCTTTTATTTCTATGTGTAACATTCTACCACAAGAATAAGGTATCATACATATTTGCAAAAAGGGAGAAAAGGTAAAATATGAATAGAAAGTTTTATGTTTCTTAGCTAAAAAAAGAAGCATTTAAATTTTACACAAAGAAGTCCAGGTATGGTGGCTCACACCTGTAATCCCAGCACTTTGGGAGTCTGAGGTGGGCAGATCACTTGAGGTCAGTTCAAGACCAGCCTGGCCAACATGGTGAAACTCCGTCTCTATTAAAAAAATAGAAAAATTAGCTGGGCATGATGGCACATGCCTGTAATCTCAGCTACTCAGGAGGCTGAGGCAGGAGAATCACTTGAACCCAGGAGGAGGAGATTGCAGTGAGCTGAGATCATGCCGCTGCACTCCATCCTGGGCGACAGAGTGAGACTCTGTCTCAAAAATGAAAAATAAGAAATAAATAAATAATAAAAATAAACAAATACATTTTACACAAAGAACCACCATATCTAAAGCAAACTATAAGTAATACATGAATTATTACAAATAAGGAAACCTGGCATAGCATATCTTATATTGATGGTGAAGAAAATTGTGTGTCAAAATTGGATTAGCAAGTGTGTAATACAATTTTATTTTTTTGAAGGAATTTTTTTTTTAAATTTCTGTTTTTGACTGCAATACAGTTGACCCTTGAACAACGTGGGGGTTAGGGTGTTACCCTTGAGCTCTTGAAAACCCACTGACAAATTTTGTCTCTTCAGAAATGTAACTACTGCTGTTGCTGGCATAGCTGCAGTTATAGCCTCTCCAATATCTTTTTCTTTTTTTACAATGATCTTTAGGCTGATTCATTTATCTTAAAACAATGGGAAACCCCAGCTGCAGACCTCAATCTACAGTGCATATGAAGAAATTTGACTGATTTTGTAATGTCATGAATTTTCTCTGCTTCTTGGGAGCCTTCCAACATCACCAGTGGCCCTTCGTGTGGGTTTCATGGTGCTATTCAATGTTTACCATATCGCACTAAACACGGAAATTATGCAAGAACTGCGAGATCACTTTTTACTACAGTACACAACTAACTAGAGACACAAACTGCCCACGTGGCAATGATCAGAATTGCAGGGCTTTATGCGGAAGCTCACAACACGTGGGCTCACCACAATAGCAGTGGGAGGTGCCTGTGAAATTATCATGGTAGTGCAGTATGTGCCACAGTTACTTTTATGCGGTTATGACTTAATACTGCATTTTTACATTGGCTTCTATTTCCTTGTCTGTAAATGGTGCCATGTACAAACTATAAGAGTTTGTGACCACATGCTTTGATAAATGTTAACCTCATTTAATAGATTTGCATATATTTATAGTAGTAAATGATAAAATAGAATAGTATCTACATATATTCTATGTATTCATGCCATACTTGCTTCTTAATGTTTTAATATTTCTAGGCTACATGTTGGTCTACAATATTTTTCAAACTGTTATAAATTTCCAAAAACATTTCCAATATAGTTAGTGAAAAAATTATTGTCTAAGTGGACCCATGAAGCTCAAACCCATGTTGTCCAAGTGTCAGCAGCACTGTGGTCAGTGAGGTTATAGTTATTTCCTTTTGTAGTTCTGTGGCCATATAAATTTGACATCATGCTAGACGTTCAGGTCTGTTTATCCATAAACTTCTGTGCATGGGCTCTCCTCCCAGCTCAAGTGGATTGGTGAATTAGTGGAGTCAGTGCAACAGTTGGGATTCAGGCAGGTCAATGATTGTTTCAGGGAATCCAATACATCTTCTTCTCTTCATCCAAATAAATAAATGTTATTGTTGCCACATTCCTAGTTCTCAAATGCACCTGGCCAGGTGCTGCCCATTCTTAAATGCTGGGCTGTTTCGCAGACGGCTGCCCTCTTCACCTTCCCGGGGGTTCTACCTCAGTCAGAGAGCACTGGGCTCAAACTGTCCTCGCATTATGATCTGGACATCGGTAGTCTTTGACCTAAAGAAACACAAAATGTGTTCAGGGGACAAGTTTCATTTACAGAGACTTATCAAATAAGCCATAGTTTAGAAAACTCTCTCTGCTTTCTTCTCTCTTGGACTTTACAGTTCTATTAAAAGTGGCTTAGCTTACCAGGCTTTGAGGTTTACATGAATCAATGCTTCTCCATTGGAAAAATGAATCTCAAAACCTTTCTAGTTGGACAAAATCTTCCAACCATTTTTTGACCAGAAAGATGAGAATTTGAGAAGCCAAGTCACTACTCTTGTCACTTGCCAGAGCAGCGTCCCCAGAAATTTCCACTGGCACTCTGGCAAAACACCTTCACTCACAATGAATGGGGACTTAGGTGTTAGTTTGATTGCTTTTGACGGTCTTGATTCTTCCAGGTTGGCACAGAGAACCTGTAACATAACTCCAGAGCAGCTGTTTTCCCTTTTCCTGACAGTATGTCACGTCAAAAATTCTACCAGGCATCACTACTGATCAGGCATAAAAGCACTCTGAATAATAATAACGTTTTATGTGGTTCTTATTGCAAGAGGTAGAATGTTTTTGGGGGTGAGTAGAATTTACATTTGAATTTAAATTTCTGTTCATTTGAATTTAAATTTCTGTACGTTTGTGTGTTGTGAGTGTGTAGGTTTTTTGTTTTTAACACCAAGTATATGTTACTTAATAAGGCAAAATCAGTAAACGTACTCAATTTTGAAAAAAAAAACTATAATTAAATGTGTTAACCGATATTTAATTTATGTGGATAAAATGGTGAGCAAAAGCAAACTTTAGAATTACAGTTAAGACTGAGACAGAAAGCTAACTCTTCATTGACCCTTCCTTAAGAGAAAGATTCTCTCTCTCAGGACTTTAATCTGACATGGTTCCGAAAATAAAGATGTGTTGTTTTTTGAAATTAGAGATTGAAAGATGGTTATTTTAACAAACTGATTGGACCTTTTTCTAAAAAAAAAATTATTTCCATAGGTTTTGGAGAACATGGGCTATTTGGTTACATGGGTAAGTTCTTTAGTGGTGATTTGTGAGATTCGGGTTCCTCCCTTCACCCAAGCAGTATACACTGAACCTGATTTGTAGTCCTTTTGCCATTACCCTCTTCCCACCTTTTCACCCAAGTCCCCAAAGTCCATTGTATCATTCTTATGCCTTTGTATCCTCATAGGTTAGCTCCCACTTATGAGTGAGAACATGTGATGTTTGGTTTTCCATTACTGAGTTACTTCACTTAGAATAATAGTCTCCAATCCCATCCAGGTTGCTGTGAATGCCATTAATTCATTTCTTTTTCATGGCTGAGTAGTATTCCGTCGTATATGTCTACCACAGTTTCTTCATCCACTCATTGATTGATGGCATTTGGGCTGGTTCCATATTTTTGCAATTGTGAATTGTGCTGCTATAAACATGCATGTGCAGATGTCCTTTTCATATAATAACTTCTTTTCCTCTGGGTAGATACACAGTAGTGGGATTGCTGGCAGACTTCATTACCAAGAACCCAAAAGCAAATGCAACAAAAACAAAGATAAATAGGTGGGACTTAATTAAACTAAAGAGCTTTTGCACAGCAAAAGCAATAGTCAGCAGAGTAAATGGACCACCCTCAGAGCGGGAGAAAATCATCACAATCTATAAATCTAACAAAGACTAATATCCAGAATCTACAAGGAACTCAAACAAGTCAGCAAGAAAAGAACAAACAAGTCAGCAAGAAAACAAACAATCCCATCAAAAAGTGGGCTAAGGACATGAATAGACAATTCTCAAAAGAAGATATACAATATACAAATGGCCAACAAACATATGGGAAAATGCTCTACATCAGTAATGATCAGAGAAATGCAAATCAAAACCACCATGAGATACCGCCTCACTCCTGCAAGAATGGCCTTAATGAAAAAATCAAAAAATAATAGATATTGGTGTAGATCCAGTTAAAAGGGAACACTTCTACACTGCTGGTGGGAATGTTTCTAGTATAACCACTATGGAAAACAGAGTGGAGATTCCTTAAAGATTGTAACTATATTTTTTTAAATTCAGAAAAGAAATGGTTGTGTCTCAGTTTTTACTGTTACTGCTTTTGTTGCTCCTAGACCCATTTCGCATTCCCTTTGTTATTAGGGTCCACAGCAGTGTTCCCAGTATTAATGTTACCTGGAAACCTCAGCCTAGTGCAAACCCTGAGAGCCCGTAACAGTGCAGACTGGCAGAGCCTCCCACAGTCATTTGGCTCAGAGCCTTACTCAGCACCGTGCCATGCAGGTGTGCAAGACATGCCCTCTTATGGGTCTTGGGACAGAATTTACAATCAAACAGAGATATATTTCCATTCTCATGGCCAGCACCAAGCATATACCAGGGTTATTCTAGCATTCTAAGAATGTAGGGTCCCTTTTTTCCTTTCCGTGAAGACATTGGGGAACAGTTGTCTCACCAGCCAAGGGTGACCTCAGAAACAGTCTTTACACCAAGCTTTGCTTCAGGGTCTTGCCTTCCTTGTCCCTAGCAGCAGCACTGCCCGTGTGTGCATGGTCACATACTGGTGTGCCCACTGTGCCCGGGGGCTGTGGACTGGGCTGCCTGTGTGCCCAGCCTGTCAATGGACATCTGGCTATGAGGAAGTGCGTGGCTAAGTTAGTGCAGGGAGTACAAGAGAACTTCAGTGAGGAGACAGCTTAGCGCTCCCAACCAGGCATTGGGTGCTTTTGTTTTGTTTTGTTTGTTCTGACTTTTCGATTTTGCTACCTAGTAGAGGTAAACATTCTATGGATGATGTAATGACCAATCCTTCATTCATGGTTTTTTCACATCCAGAAGTGTGGATTATTTTCTATGAACCCTCTCTTTCAGATGAAGATGTCTACCCAGTGAGTCTCAGGGATTTGCCCAGGAAGAAACAGGGAGACAGCAATTGCATGAGGTCCTGCACAGGCCATCCTGACCACAATACTCTGCCTTTCCACGATACCCTCCCTCCATTCCCCAGGAAGGCGGCCAGAGAGAGCTAGTGCTGGTTTAAGACGGGCTTCGGTGATATGAAGGCTAATGTTCTGTCGGCTCACACCTGTGTGCTTTCTGTTGCTTTCAGCCAATCTTTGTGGATTATTCATTGCCTGTACCATCATGGTTGCTAAACAGTTTGGATATTAGTCTTGGATCTTTTGCCTAACTTTAAAGTTGACAGTCAAAACATGATGGAAATTAGTTGAGAATTAAGATGACACATATACTGTGATTTGTTTGTCAGGATTGAGAGAAAGAGTAGGATGTTGTTAGGATAATGATGCATGGTATGTAAGGGAGGTGTCACAGAGTTTGATGTAGAAAATCATGCGTCATATCTGTATTTTTACCTGTTCTGCAAAAATCAATTTTATATTGTTGTTATAAATAAATGTACATTGTATTTTTTTAACCCTCTTCAGGATTAACCCTCCCATTAGTTGTCTATATTCTTTGCCTGCTGTAAAATAGGAGATATGCATTTTCCTTTCATCCCCGTGCAAGCTGGCTAGGAAATGAATCCCCACGGTAGAAACTCATCGCCCTACAAGTTAATAGAAAAATGCTGTTATTGCTGGTGTAAATTAGGTTGCATACTTTATTGGTTACAAGTATTTCTTGCAGGCAATTTTACATCATAAATGCCAAATTAACTGCTGTTGATTATGTTACTGATCATTCTTGCTATTTTATAACAAGAATAGTTACTCATATAAAAATCCCCATATACCAGATATAAAAATAGAAAAACTTGAAACATCAAGAACTTGGGTGGAAGGTGGGAGAGCTGGGCAAACAAAAGCCTGTTTAATTCCGAATTATCTGCAGTGTAATTTAGCTTGAGAATTGGTTTGGCCTTAAGTAGAATAACAGAATCTATTGATGATATTTTTGTTGTGCTTATACCTTTCTGTGTTCCTTGTGTTCTAATGCAGAAAAAAAATTGTCAGGGTCCTTAAGAGTCTATGACTTGTATTTTTGCAGAAAATATTATTTTAGTCAGGGGCATTTTAAAATGCTTTTGTACGAATGTTCAATTTTGCAATTTTATGGTATGTAAATGGATAAATATTGGTAGTAAAACATTTGAATCTACATGATCTTTAATTTGAAGTGTGTTATTTGAAACTTATTGCAAATGTATTTGGAAAATGATTATTGAGGCCTGCAAAAGCCCATTAAAAAGTGCCTGTCTGTGCTATATATTCAGCCTTTCCCAAAGTCAGACCATGCCTCTTGTTTTATCCAGTGACATATGATATAAATTTCTCTTTAGATATTGTAACTACCACCTGTAGACTCAAACGTGGGTTATGATGAAAAATAAAATTTGTCATTTAACACATTTGTCGGGAATTTATCTTTTAGTTGATTAAACTGTTAACTAAAGTGTCAGAATTATTTATTGCAATATCTACCTCTAAAAAGTGTGTGCTTGTGTATCAATTAATAAATGGTTCACAATAAATGAGTTTATAAAAATGGTGACAGTGTATTTGGTTAAGACTTCAAAGGGTTTTAAGCAGTAGAAAACTGCATGTTAGAATCAACAATTTGTGATTGTTCTTATCTACAATTTGTCTTATTATCTGGGTTTACTTTTTTCTTAAAATTTACTGATTCATTCTTCAGCTTTCACATTAAATTATTTGAATTAATTTTATGTATATGCTTACAAACTTTTGGGTGATATTTTAAAAATATCCCATCAATAGATAATTCATCCCTGTCATGTGGATTAACCTCCAGGCATCTCTGTAACAAGAGTCAAGGATTTCTACTGCACATGGTTTAGAGTCTTCGGTTACTCACTTGTTTTTTAGTTCCCTGGGGTGGCTCTACTTGTTTCCTGGGGCTACATGTGTTTCAAGCAGTCAGCCAAAAAAGAAAAAAAATCAAAGTTTGAGTGTCATCTGTAACGATATATCTATGAACATGGGTATGGAGAAGAGCACCACCATTTTTGTTGTTGCTTCCAGAGTCAACAGAAAACCTCACCATCACTTTATCACACTAATTCGGCAATCGAAAACTCTTCCTCAGCATGTGAAATTGTTGCATCAGCTAAGTCATTTTGCGGCTAAATTAAAAGCAGACTGTAGATAGACTCTTCCATGTTGACAATTTCAAAAAGAATTCATATCTTTACATTTTAATAGTCTGAGTTTTTAACATTATGACTGAACGTAACAGCAGGAGAGCCAATAAGGTATGATGGCATGGAGGAGGAATTCAGGAGTCGGCCCTGGGAAGCACAGATGGATTGAAGTCAGGCTGATCCACACTGAAACAACAATCATCCAGCACTTGCCTTAGGAATAACAGGAAATTATTATGATGCAGAAAAGTATTATTCCTAAAGATGATGCCTTTACAATAGCTAATCTGTTAAAGGATATTGCAGATGGTGTCATTTGCCTAAACTTCACAAATAGAAATACATTTCAACCTATTTTTAGAGAGTAATTCATTGTATTATTATAATGCTAAAATTTAACTGGCATTGAAATGGAGCTAAGCTACTGAATAAAATGTGAGATTCTACAAGACACACACACACACCCTACAAACACACACATGCACACATATGTCTTCTTGAAGTAAGAGTTTAAAGGTCAAAACACGCTTTCAAAATTCTGAGGTCAAACATATTTCTGGAGTCAAAACATACTTTTAAAACTGTGCTATGATATTGAAACAAATTGTTTCACAGGCGTCAAAGCAGGAACAACCATTCTGATATTCGAACAATAAGTTTATGGCAGCCAAAACTTTGGAGCAGAAAGACCAAATTATTGGATTTCACTTACTCTTTGCCCTCAAAAAGCCACAAGCATGAAAAAAAAGCAATGGAAATGTCTCCTGGTGCTATGAAAAGGGAGGCGTCTTGCTCATTTTAGGGCATTAAAAAAAAATCTTTCCACCGTTTTTATTTTTCTATTTTCCTGCATCTTCGACATCATCAAAGCATGTTCTCTGTTTCTGTCATTTTGAGACAAGCACTAACTGTACTGTCTTCTGTAGTCTGGCAGAGATAATGTATCTGGGTTTCCTTAGTGATATTTTAAACACATTTTTTTTCTGTCCTCCCATACAGAGCGCATACTTTTGGTGGAATTCCTGTTGTGTGGGAGACCAGCTTAGTTCCATTCACACACTCACACTCCCAGATGTGGCCCCATGGGTTTATTCCTGTCTCGCTGTTTCAACAGTCAGACGTTTGTTCTTCAGGCTGCTTGCTCCAGTATCCTCGTCAGACAACCGCAGGGAGCCTTTGTGCATTTATTTATTTATTTGCTTGGTATGCTTCAGTGTTTTGGGGGCTTTTCTTCCCACTGAGTAAGTTAAAACTCTGCAAAAGTTTGCCTCCAGAAAAAGGGAGCCAAACTGCCCCTTGATTACTTGAATTGTGTAAATGAGGGATGGCAGGTGTTGGGGCAGGGAAGGTGGCAGAGAAAGAAGTGGAAATCATTTGGAATCCAGGATTATCACTTATTGTGCCCCTGTATTGAAAAATTACAAAATGAAACTGAAAGGTTGGGCAACAGAAAGAGGATTATGTTTATTTTCACTACCACTAAACTTTGCCACTACAGGTTGGTTTAATTAACCCGTGAGATGAAGTGCTGAACTCTCTGAAAAGATAAATGCTTTCAGAGGTGCCTCAGACACGAGAAACACAATAATATTTATATTTCTTTTTGACTGAGGAAGGTCACTGTGGTGACAGTTTCAGGAGGACACCTGTATTATTCTCTTTTGTCAACAGGACTTGTAATATGAACAAAACATGCAGTCACTTCCCACCAGGATGTGTCCTTCTGGACATCAGCATACGTGCAAGATGACAATTTCAGGCAAGAATTTTTTCCTCTAATCTATGATTTAATCAGTTGGGTGTCTGGGAGTGGGTTAGAGAACATTTCTGAAGTTAAAGCTTGAATGTTTTTCATGTGGCTGGAGGTGAGGGCAGGCGTCCAGGAGACTCAGGCAGCAGCTGCATAGCTCAGTGCCTAAGTGATCTCTGCTCTTAGGAGGATCAATTGAAAGCTTAGGGGAAATAGGGCTCCCAGGAAGATGGGTGCTTAAAAATGAATACTGTAAATGTTACTCAGCATACAATTGAGGGAAAGCCATCACTCACAGGAAGTGAGCACAATTCTTTATTATCTGGGCCCTGTCACTAATGAAACATTCAGTGTAGAAGAAATCAGTCCCCTTTGAGTTTAGGCTTGTCATGATGGCTCTGGGTTTCCTTCATTCACAGCAATCACACTTAAAATGTTTACAGTCTGAAGACCTGAAAAACATGTCCACACCCTTGAATTCGTTGTAGTTACACATGAGGTCAATGTTATCCATCTTCATTTATCAAATAAAGAAATTGAAAATATAGTCTGTCAGAAAATAATTCCAATTCAGATCTTCAAGAGTTCACGTTTTATTGTCCTATTGTACTAGAGCTATTTTTGTAAAACATACATCTTTAAGCTTTCAGACAGAATCGTGAAAACGTAAACTTATCACACACAACAGCATAATATGCAATGCAGTGCAGTCTAGGATATACGCATTAGTGTCAATTTTTAATTAAAAAATGCTGAATTTTGTTTAAAAAGTTTTTTTTTTTCCTGGATCTGGAAAAGGAAATGCTTTTCTGGAGTAAAACACAGAGGATAAGGTAGAATTCTTACCTGAAGTGCCTGTAGGAGATTCCAACGTGAATGCATTTCACACGCTTTTACAAGCTACTTTCTTCTCCTTTCTTTTTTCAATCATCTTAGCAGTCATTGTTTATTTTCTGGAGATGAGTAGTTTTTATTTATACTAGAAAGCCCATAGTTTTTACATAGGTTGCCTTTCATTCTTGGTAAGACACTGAGAAAAGGAGAAAAAGAAAACTTTAGAGATAGAGCAATGGTATAATTGATTGAATGTTACGTGAACTGTCAAGATCAGAACTTTCTCATACTATCTTAGGAATAAAAATATGTTCTGGTTAGTAATCCTCACCAAGTTTGGAAGGTTAGAGGTGACTCAGCCTCCATGAATGTGGTCTGGTCTTATTTTAAGAAGGGCTTCTGAGTCATGTGGAGTTGTGTCAAACTATGTGTTATGTTATGTTATTTTAAAAAGACAGCTTGGAGAGAGGAAATTGAACTATCTTTTTTTTTTTCCAAAAAACTCTGCCCTTTAATAGAAGAAAAGGGCAAGTTATTTCCCACAAATCTCACTCTATGTAATGTAGCCTAGAATGTATTTTTACCACAGATATATTCTTAAAGTAGTTTGGCATGACCTTACTTAGAGTATTTTAAGTTTGTGACTTGAATTGTTTTTGCTTAATATTTATCCTTAGATGTGGTTGAATGCACTGTTCATAACTGAATAAATTTACTATCGATCCATTATTATCGTGATTGTTCACCTATTCAAATTGATAGCTACACAGATACATGTACTATTTTTATCAATATTCAAAATGCATAATGTTAAGTGAACTTCAATTTTCTCAACTCAGAAAAGTAGCAATAGAATAAATCTTGCCTATCTCCCTGAGTTGCAATAACATGTAATAAAATCCTTGGAAAAGTACATCAGATAATGACGGGTTCATGATGGCTCACGTTGACTGGTAATGCCATGGCTTACAATTGAGTATGAAGTCTGCACTGCGGCTCAGCTGAGGGAAAGGCACATCCAGGTGGGTGAGCAGGTCTGCTACAGGAACTCACTCTTGCATTCTAACTTCCCTGAGCCTTTGGGTATGTTTCTCGATGTTATACCAAGAACGTTCTGACATTTTAACCTCAAGTCGTATAGGTCACCTCTGGTTCCATGATTCAGCCAACCGATTGAGAAAATTATTAGTGCCATTATTAGACCCTCAAGCTAAGACACTGAATCAATAAATCCGCTTCAAAACATATACCATGATACAATTGTATATTATTTCCATCTTAATCCCACACTCTTAAGATACATTGTCATTCTTATTTCCCAGGGTTTGTTGATATTAATTGGCAGATCATGCAACTCTTTGGATGTGTATCATATCCCATCACAGGTTTGAGACTTGAGTCAACTCTAGGTCTAAAAGGAAGAAAAAGGAGTGGGAGTAGAACTTAATGAAGATTAGTAGGGCTCTCAATGCAGTACTAATGGGCGGTGGTGGGCATTAGAGATTCTTCAAGAAAAGGGAGACTAACTTCCTCAGGCACGGCTGCAGACTGCTTCTACTGGCCAAGAAGGCAAGGAAAGCTGTCAGAATTAAGGGCTCTAGGTTTCCAGATTAACTAGAATTTGCTCATATATTCCCTTCCCAAACCTCAGAATCCCACTCCTTCCCAGTAAATGTCCTAAATTTAATAAAAGAGACTCTATGAGGTTTGGAATTCAATTTTGGCTATAATTCAGCCACCCACAGGATGAAACTTTGGGTTTCCTGTTCAAAAACCTTGGCTCTCTGGCTACAGGAGATAGGATTTCTTTCAGGACCAATCTAGAAGCTTTCAGGACCCTTATATAGAACTTGATCTTGGTACTTAAAGCCCTGAATTTCTCCAGTGTAGTTAGAACTAGCCAACCAACACAATTATATTCATCATTTTCATTAAAATGGTCAAACTCAATAAATTCTTGGTTACTCAGATGGGCACTTAATAAAAGATGTGTAAAGGTGATAATTTGAGTCTTTCTTTCTTTCTTTCTTTCTTTCTTTCTTTCTTTCTTTCTTTCTTTCTTTCTTTCTTCCTTTTCTTTCCTTCTTTCTTTCCCCTCTCTCTTTCTCTCTGTCTCTCTATCTCTCTTTCTTTCTTTTTTTTTCTGACCTCTCCATCTGATGCTAGGAACTACTTACCCCTCTTTTACCACTGTGAATAGGGTACTTAGTGCTTTTAAATCTAATCAGATCAGAAAAACAATTCCAAACACACACACACACGCATACACACACACACACACACACAGAAACAACTCAAAAACTGTACCCTTAAGATCCCATTCCTCTGAAACCACCCTTAGTACCAAATTCTGTGTAAGTCAGGTTTAAACCAGAAATATAGCAACTCTACAGATTTGTCTTCAGGTATTTGACCTTACACAACATTGGGAGCTGGTTAAACCATCTCTGCAGAGTTGCCTTTGTGTCTAATGCTGGATCTTGAAGTCCATAGACTGGACACCTGAGAAGAAAACATGGGTATAGGGTGGAGGAGGAATGGTGAGCTGGGCCCCAGAAGCACAGGTTGAAGCCCAAATGACAGACTGAGCTCATGTCAGTTCTCATCACCTCCACCTTTGCTTATGTGGGTGCAGAGGACGGGACTCTGTGTCATGGAGCTAAACACACACACATCTAGCCCAGGAATCAAAGAAGCTTCAAAAAGAGGAAGATGCAAGTTCGGCTGGTGCCTCCCATCAATATCTGCAGATAAGTGACAATGTATGTAAGATTTTTTTTTTTAAAGGCAATCTGGACAATACAGTAAAACCTCATCTCTACAAAAATTTAAAAATTAGCTGAGCTTGGTGATGCATGCCTGTGGTCCCAGTTACTCAGGAGGCTGAGGTGGGAGGATCACTTGAGCCCAAGAGGCAGAGGCTGCAGTGAATTGAGATTGCACTGCTGCAATCCAGCCAAGGCAACAGAGCAAGACCCTATATTAACTTGTTTTTTTAGAGGAAAGGCTGCTCCTCCATTTCCCCAGGCTAAATCTTCCACAACAGTGGCTACAAACATTAAGAAACATAGGAAAGATTGTCCTTGAGAATGTAGTTCGTTTGAGCCTAGATGCTACCTTACAAAGTTATCACATCACTTTGCTTTCATTTTCCATTTTCTTTTGCAACTTTTTATCTTTCTCTGCCTTCCAAACTTTCCTACTGCAATGCAGAGTATATTCTTGTTTTTCTTCACGTTTATTTTTAGGATGCAGCTATAGGGAACGTTGATTAAATGTCTGAGGACTTTCTTCTAAGGTTTTCTAATTGCTTCAGCAAAACTGCTTAATGGCTATTTTTAAGTCCTCTAGAGGCATTCTTAAAAACCAGCACACTGCTATCAAATTCCACTTGCTCTTCCACGAAGGTTTTCAGAATATTTCTTTATCTTATCATCACCATCCTCAACAACATCATTGTTAAGTAAAACATGGCACACGTGGCCATGAGCTACACATCTAAGTTTCTCTACTGACCTTCTGTGATGAATACGATTTCATTGTCAAATAAGTAATTTAGGGATCCTTGTCTGTTTCCTGTTCTAATCTCAGGGGTACTCACTACATGATGAGTAACACAAGAGGATGAGATGAATCACTGCACCAACGTAGTTTAATTTTTAGTTTAATTTTTGTGGTCAGTGCTTTACTGGCTTGGGATTGGGAGAGCAAAGAAATAATGAAATTTGAGGTTAGAGAAGCTCTGGCTTCCCATTGAAGGTATGAGAGGAAAAGAAACCTAAGAAAGAAAGAAGCTGGGCAAACATGGCTCCATGTACCCTGGGTTTTCTCTTACACTGGTCCTGCTTTGAGGATGAACACACACAAGGGTAAGGCATGGGAGAGGGCATGGAGCAACTGTCTAAGTTATGATCGAATAAAAATGCAGCATTGCTTATTCAGGATCGACAAGTAAATACAGTGGGATCAGGATTACTTCTCGCTGCCAGCATTTTGATGAAGAAAGGTATTCAAAAATCTGCTTCTATGGAGGTACAATTTCACACAGACTTACATTGCCAACTTTCACTTGACGGAAACTTTGTAGACACAATGCAGAACCTCTTCTCCGGAAGCAGATTATGTCAGCAGGACTTTAGTGTGTTGATTTAGGGAAAGGCAAAAGGTGATGGTGTTGTAATTAAAAAAAAAGGGGGGGCCCACACAGAAAGTCCCAAACTAATTGTTTAGAAGATGATTTTGTGGGGTGGCATGAAAAAAGTTTGGATGAAACATTTTAACTTTTTAACGTTCAGCAGCTTCGTATCCTACGATGAAAATCTCTCTCCCTTACACTCATCAGCTCACTCTTACCTGGACCATCCTCATTAATCAATGCGCCCACATCTTCCCCATTTAGTGAGGCTCCCAAATTCTGCACATCAAGTTCAAAGAGCACATCACATACAAAGAACAGAAGCTTATTTATTAATTTAAAGCTGATTCAAACTTCCCCTTAATACCCAATCCAGAAAGTTAAGACTGATTCTAAATGTTAAAGTGTGTTCAGGAAACATGGTCTTGTTCATCAACTCAGATTTCCTCCAGGTTCCTGAGCAAGGGGGAATTGCCTGGGCCCCGTGCATAACTCCTTCTCCTGGTTCACGCTTCTTGTGTGTCCCTGAAGATGTTCCTTGTCATTCTGGTTGCTAGACGCCCTAGTGACACTTGATTCCAGTTCTCTGAGTGGTGAGTTCAGTGTATTCTCATGACTTGGTGATTTAGCTGGACTCTATCTATCTAATATCAGGCCTTGAGGTCAGTACGTACACCCTGGCATCTGGATCTGACCCCATTCAGTCCTCAGCCAGTGCAGCTCTCCCTGCAGACTTCGGCTGGTTTGTTGAAGCACCTCCAGAAAAGCTCCTTGGCTCTGTACTCAGAACCCTCCTAATCCTTTGGGCAAAGGAAAACAACTGCATTGCTATCATATTGCAGACACCCTAAGGATGCCTCAGGAAAGATCACCCCAGGCTCTCCCCGCCTCACCAAGCTGCATGCTCACAGATACTGCATTATAGGTAATGACAGCAGCATCATAAGTGGGTAAGTGGGCACCCTGTTCATCAGTCTTCTCTCTCATCCCAGAGAGACAGCCTTTCCTCCTAGCTGCTGCTCAAAATCCTTCCCCTTCTGAAAGAGGGTCGGAGAATGTGTGCCCCAACATTGCCCCCTTCTGTCTCCATCTCTCGTGCTTCCACCTTTCTGTCCAGGTGTTACCCTATTTCTTATCTCCTCCCGTCCTCTGTTGGCTTCTGCTCTCCCTCTTTCCTAGAGCTGTGGTGATTGAACAGCGCCAGAGAACATGTTTCATTGAGAATATATAGGAAAATATATTAGTTTAATATTTTTAAAACCTATCTCTATTAGGTCATTTGAAAAAACAACAGGCAAACAAAATCCCTCCCTACTTATAGACCCATCTTTCCCCTGTCCCAGGGAAGTGTCTCAAGAATATAGACTATATTTTGCCGCTGTCTTCTCACCAACTTTTCACGTCTTAATCCCTCAGCCTGACCGCCACCCCCTTAACTCCACTGATATATTCCTGACCACCAATGATTCCCAGGCCAGCAAATCTAATGACAACTTCCATGCATCTTCCTTAACTATGAAAGAGCATTTGTACTACTGATCTCTCCTTTGTGAAACACTTATGTTTTCGGTTTCAAGTAGACGACCTGCACTGATTTTTGTCTGACATCAGTGACTTAGCCTTCTCAGTCTTTTTTATTTTTATTTTTTTTCAGTGTCACCTCTAAACATAGAACAATCTGTGTTGGAGTTACTTAAGTGCAGGTCATCTTCATATTCACTCTAGACTCTTCCTATTCACTCCCACAATTCCCATTGTCAGCTCAACATCAATGAAACACTAAAATAACAAAGGAGCGCTACAGCTCTTCTGAAATTGGAAAACCCATATCCTACTGCACACCTACAATCTCCCCGTGATGCCACTGGGTCATTCCCATCTCAGTTACCATACCTTGGCCCAACCTGCCATCATCTGTTGCCCCAGATACTGAGAAAGCTATTAGCTGTTATCTTTGCACCCATTCCAAGAGTCCTCTAGGAACTTCTCCATGCTGTAGCCAGAAGGGTTTTTCAAGATAAAAATGTTTTTTACATGACCCTCTCCACTATTTTAAAATCCTTCTGTTTTTATCTCCCCCTTTCCTTTTTTTCTTTTTCTTGAGACAGCCTCATTCTGTCACCCAGGCTGGAATGCAGTGGCACAGTCTCAGCTCAATGCAATCTCCACCTCCCAGGTTCAAGCGGCTCTCCTGCCTCAGCCTCCTGAGTAGCTGGGATTACAGGTGCCCAAAACCATGCCTGGATAATTTTTGTATTTTTAGGAGAGACAGGGTTTCACCATGTTGGCCAGGCTGGTCTCAAACAACTGACCTCAAGTAATCCCAAAGTGCTGGGATTATAGGCATGAGTCACTGTGCCTGACCTCTCCCTTGCCTCTTAAAAAGCAAAAGCCTACTCATGACCTCTCCGTGGGCTACCTCTTGTCTCATGTGGCTGTGTCCCTCTGCTGTCCCTTTGCTTTTTGTGTTTCAGAGACATTGGGTCCTACAATGTGCCAATTTTTATCCTGCCAGGGACTTTCGTACATAAGATCTCAGTCTTACTCCCACTGCCACATCCCTCAGAGTCCCTTTTTCTCTGGCTAACTGCTACTCATCCTTCAAACCTGAGCTCAAATATCATATCCTCAGGGTAGATACTCATCGCCATTTGGTCTCACTCAGTCTTTTGTCTTCCTTGGCCTGTGTTGCTCTACTTCCCTGCAGTATCTACACCTCGGTCTTAAAATATCTGTGTAGCATGTGTCAACATGTCCTCCCTCTTGGAGGCCAAGAAATATTCCATTGTATGTAGACACCACATTGTGTTTATTCATTTACCAAAGAACATTTGGGTTGCTTCCACTTCTTGGCTATTGTGAATAATGTTGCTATGAATATGGGTGTACAAATATCTCTTCAATATTCTGTTTTCACTTCTTTCAAGTATATATGCCCATAAATGGAATTGCTGAATGATGTAATAATTCCATTTTTAACTCTTGAGGAACCACCATAGTTTCTCATAGTGGCTACGTCATTATTTTATGTTCCTACCAACAGTATGCAAGGTTTCCAACGGCTTTACACCTGGCCAACTCATGTTACTTTCTGTTTTATTTTCTGTTCTTGTTTTTAATAGTAGTCATCCTAATGCATATAAGGCAATATCTCACTGTGGTGTTAATTTGCATTTCCATAGTGATTAGTGATGTTGAACAATTTTCATGAGTTTATTGGCTTATTTTATGCCTTATTTAGGGAGATATCTATTCAAGTCTTTTACCTACTTTCAATTGGGTTATGCAAGTTTTCTGTTGTTCTTCCTTTGTCATATTTTGTAAGTCCTAAAATTAAAAATTAATTTAATGTGCATTGTCCCTGCTCAGCAATAAATTACTTTTGCAGTTTTTAGATACCATTGCTGATAAATGTCTTCTATCTAAAAGTACATAAAAGAATGTCATATTTGTAAATAGCTCTTTCATCATGATTCTTTTATTTTAGCTCAAAAAGTTAAACCATTGTTTTTCTTTGGTCTATGGTGGGGGTACAGGGATAGTGGAGTAGTTTTCTATTCTATTGCAGATACACAAATCCCAGATAATTATTTTTCGACAGTTTTGGAAGTAACATTTTCTTAGAATGTTTTCCGTACTTCTACCTATGGTAGAGATGCAAAAGGAAGGGCTTATAATGGATTGATGGGAGCTAGCAAATAGGCTTGAGAGTATCAAAGAGGTGAGCTTGGTGGAGGAGACACTCATTTCTCTGCACACATCAGTTCCTCATTCTTCCTGGTCAGAGGTGTCCAGGAAGACTGTAATTCCCAGCTCCCACATAACCATGGGATCCAGTTCTCATCAGGAGACTATGAGCACCCATGATATGCTCAACTTGAATCTAAAAGACCTCTTTCCTTCCTGCTAGATGTAAGTTGCAAAGATTGGAGCATCTCAGGATAATGTGTTTTGAGGATGGTGAGCTGCTCAGGTCACCTGGTTCTGGATTTGATACCTTGTGGATGGACCTGCCTATCCACCCTAGACTACCACTGGACAGAGAAGGAAACTTCTATGTGGTATTGCAATGAACCATTGCATTTGAGGTCAATTTGTTAGAGTAGTTTATTTTCTACTCATATGTGCTTGTTTGTTTCTTGTTTTACACTTGCTTGAGTCACTTCTTTGCAGATCGAAATGCCATTTATTTGTAGAACTGAGTAAGGCTCACAGGGCAAGGGTACAAAACAAAACAACACAGCAAATCTTAGGGTAGGCATTCTCCATGCCTAAAGAATTTATGCGATATTTTTTTCTAAAAAGTCAAAAGAATTTGTACAGGAAACACATAAGTGATAAAGTGTATAATAAGTGCCTATTTGAATAGTATTGGCAATTAGGGTTCTGGAACCCTAACAGGAAGCCTACTTAGGATCTTCTAGAAAGTCAGAGCCAACTTGAGAAGGGAAAAATCAAAGCTGGAGTGGAGGCTTCCAGGAGGAGAGAACTTGAGTCCAATCTGAAGGGCTGTGAAGCATCTGAGGGAAGAGGGACTCACCTGCACCTGAGCCAGGAGGGGGTCATTCTCACCACCATCCTCATTGCACATGATCCTCCCTTCTGTGTTTCCCCTAGGACAGGGGTGAATCTTCCAGGCTAATACATCAGGCATGCCAGTCCTGTAGTTACATGTGAGACCACAGAGTAGCAATTCCTTTATGATGTGGGGCTTGCATGTGCCTCTGCGTAGCACAATCTTCCTTGCTGTTATCTTGCCAGGGTTTTCTTGTGCCCACGGGGATCCTTGCATGGCCCT